>NC_000023.11:75189814-75492845 GCF_000001405.40 Homo sapiens
TTTATTCATTTTCTTGGTAGATCTTCCTCCATCCCTTTATTTTGAGCCTATGTGTGTCTCTGCACGTGAGATGCATCTCCTGCATATAGCACTCTGATGGGTCTTGACTCTTTATCCAATTTGCCAATTGCTTCTTTCAATTGAAGCATTTAGCCCATTTACATTTAAGGTTAATATTGTTATGTGTGCATTGGATCCTGTCATTGTGATGTTAGCTAGTTATTTTGCTCATTAGTTGATGTAGTTTCTTCCTAGCATCGATGGTCTTTACATGTTGGCATATTTTTGCAGTGGCTGATACCGGTTGTTCCTTTCCATGTTTAGTGCTTCCTTCAGGAGCTCTTGTAGGGTGGGCCTGGTGGTGACAAAATCTCTCAGCATTTGCTTGTCTGTAAAGTATTTTATTTCTCCTTCTCTTATGAAGCTTAGTTTGGCTGGATATGAAATTCTGGGTTGAAAATTCTTTTCCTTAAGAATGTTGAATATTGGCCCCCACTCTCTTCTGGCTTGTAGAGTTTCTGCCGAGAGATCTGCTGTTAGTCTGACGGGCTTTCGTTTGTGGGTAACCCGACCTTTCTCTCTGGCTGCCCTTAACATTTTTTCCTTCATTTCAACTTCGGTGAATCTGTCAATTATGTGTCTTGGAGTTGCTCTTCTCAAGGAGTATCTTTGTGGACTTTTCTGTATTTCCTGAATTTGAATATTGGCCTGTCTTGCTAGATTGGGGAAGTTCTCGTGGAGAATATCCTGCAGAGTGTTTTCCAACTTGGTTCCATTCTCCCTGTCACTTTCAGGTACTCCAGTCAGATGTAGATTTGGTCTTTTCACATAGTCCCATATTTCTTGGAGGGTTTGTTCATTTCTTTGTACTCTTTTTTCTCTAAACTTCTCTTCTCGCTTCATTTCATTCATTTGATCTTCCATCGCTGATACCCTTTCTTCCAGTTGATTGAATTGGTTACTGAAGCTTGTGCGTTCATCACATAGTTCTCATGCCATGGTTTTCAGCTCCATCAGGTCATTTAAGGACTTCTCTACACTGGTTATTCTAGTTATCCATTTGTCTATTTTTTTTTCAAGGTTTTTATCTTCTTTGTGATGGGTTTGAACTTCCTCCTTTAGCTTGGAGAGGTTTGTTGTCTGATGCCTTCTTCTCTCAACTTGTGAAAGTCATTCTCCATCCAGCTTTGCTCTGTTGCTGGTGAGGAGCTGTGTTCCTTTGGAGGGGGAGAAGTCCTCTGATTTTTAGAATTTTCAGCTTTTCTGCTCTGTTTCTTTCCCCATCTTTGTGGTTTTATCTACCTTTGATCTTTGATGATGGCGACGTACAGATGGGGTTTTGGTGTGGATGTCCTTTCTGTTTGTTAGTTTTCCTTCTAACAATCAGGACCCTTAGCTGCAGGTCTGTTGGAGTTTGCTGGAAGTCCACTCCAGACCCTGTTTGCCTGGTTATCAGCAGTGAAGGCTGCAGAACGCGAATATTGCTGAACAGCAAATGTTGCTGCCTGATCATTCCTCTGGAAGCTTTGTCTCAGAGGGGTACCCGGCCGTGTGAGGTGTCAGTCTGCCCCTATTAGGGGGTGCTTCCCAGTTAGGCTACTCGGGGGTGAGGGACCCACTTGAGGAGGCAGTCTGTCTGTTCTCAGATCTCAAACTCTGTTACTCTCTTCACAGCTGTCAGACAGGAACATTTAAATCTGCAGAGGTTTCTGCTGCCTTTTGTTCGGCTATGCCCTGCCCCCAGAGGTGAAGTCTACAGAGGCAGGCAGGCCTCCTTGAGCTGTGGTGGGCTCCACCCAGTTCGAGCTTCCTGGCCGCTTTGTTTACCTACTCAAGCCTCAGCAATGGTGGGTGCCCCTACCCTAGCCTCACTGCCACCTTGCAGTTGGATCTCAGACTGCTGTGCTAGCAATGAGCGAGGCTCCATGGACGTGGGACCCTCCAAGCCAGGCACGGGATATAATCTGCTGCTGTGCCATTTGCTAAGACCCTTGGAAGAGCGTATTAGGGTGGGAGTGACCCTATTTTCCAGGTGCTGTGTGTCACAGCTTTCCTTGGCTAGGAAAGGGAATTCCCTGACCCCTTGCACTTCCTGGGTGAGGCGATGCCTCACCCTGCTTTGGCTCTCGCTTGGTGGGCTGCACCCACTCTCCTGCACCCACTGTCTGACATGCCCCAGTGAGATGAACCTGGTACCTCCGTTGGTAATGCAGAAATCACCTGTTTTCTGCGTCACTCATGCTAGGAGCTGTAGACTGGGGTTGTTCCTATTCGGCCATCTTGGAACCGCGTATAACCTTCCTTCTTAACACTGCTTTGTTTGTAACCGAGAGATTCTGGTATGTTGTATTTTTCTTATCAGTTTCAAAGAACTTGATTTCTGCCTTAATTTCATTATTTACCCAGTAGTCATTCAGAAGCAGGTTGTTTAATTTCTATGTAATTGTCTGGTGTTGACTGATTTTCTTAGCATTGATTTCTATTTTTATTGCACTGTGGTCCAAGAGTGTGATTGACATGATTTCAGTTTTTTTTTTAATTTGCTGAGGATTGTTTTATTCCTAACTGTATTGTCTATTTTAGAGTATGTGGCATGTGCAGATGAGAAGAATGTATATTCCGTTGTTTTTGGGTGGAGAGTTTTGTACATGTCTATTAGGTCTATTTGTCTCAGCATTGAGTTAAGGTCCTGAATGTCTTTGCTAGTTTTCTGCCTTGATAATATGTCTCACATGGTCAATGGGGTGTTAAAGTCTCCCACTATTATTGTGTGGTTATCTAAATCTCTTTGTAGGTCTCTAAGAACTTGCTTTATGAATCTGGATACTCCTGTGTTGGCTGTGTATATATTTAGGGTAGTTAACTGTTCTCATTGAATTGAACTCTTCACCATTCTGTAATACCCTTCCTTGTCTTTTTTGGTCTTCATTAGTTAAAATCTGTTTTCTCTGAAATTAAAATAGCAACCCCTTCTTTCTTCTGTTTTCTGTTTGCTTGGCAGATTTTTCTCCATTCCTTTACTTTGAGCCTATGGGCATCATTGCATGGGGGATGGGTCTCTTGAATACAGCATACCATTGTGTTTTGCTTCATTATCCAACTTGCCACTCTGTGCCTTTTATTTGATGCATTAAGCCCATTTACATTCAAGGTTAGTACTAATATTGATATGTGTGAATTTGATTCTGTCATCATATTGTTAGCTGGTTATTACGCAGACTTGTTTGTGTGGTTGCTTTATATTTTTCCTGGTCTACGTACTTAAGTATGTTTTTGTAGTTGTTGGTAATGGCCTTTTGTTTCCATATTTAGCACTCCTTCATGACCTCTTTTAAGGCAGTACTGGTAGTAATAAATTCCTTTAGTATTTGCTTGTTTGAAAAGGGTCTTATTTTTCTTTCACTTATGAAGCTTAGTTTGGCCAGATATGAAATCTTTGTCAAAAATTCTTTTCTTAAGAATGCTGAATATAGACCACCAATCTCTTCTGGCTCTGTAGGGTTTCTGCTGATGGGTCTGCTGTTAGCCTGATGGCCTTCCCTTTGTAGCTTTTCTGTCCCTTTTCTCTAGCTATCTTTAACATTTTTTCTTTCATTTTAGCCTTTGAGAATCTGACGACTATGTGTCTTGAGGATGGTCTTCTTGTGTAGTATTTTGCAGGGCTTCTCTGCATTTCCTGAATTTAGATTTTGGCCTCTCTAGTGAGGTTCATGGATGATATCCTAAAATATGTTTTCCAAGTTCCTTGGTTTCTCTCCCTCTCAGGTATGCCAGTGAGTCATAGATTGGGTCTCTTTACATTATTTTATTATTCTTGGAGGTTTTGTTCATTCTTTGTTATTGTTTTTTTCTTTATTTTTCTGTGACTCAGTTACTTCAGAGAGCCAGTCTCCAAACCCTCAGATTCTTTTCTCAGCTTGGTCAATTATTCTGTTAATAATTGAAATTGCATCATGAAATTCTTGTAGTGTGTTTTTCAACTCTATCATATCTGTGAGGTTCTTTCTTATAATTGCCATTTCATCTATCAGCTTCTGTATCATTTTATTATAATCCCTAGATTCCTTGGATTAGGTTTTGACTTTCTCTCCTGTATGTCAATGATCTTTGTTACTGTCCATATTCTGAATTTTATTCCTGTAATTTCAGCCATCTCCACCTGGTTAAGAACTATTTCTGGGGAAGTAGTATGGTCATTTGGAGGTAAGAAGACACTCTGGCTTTTTGAGTTGCCAGAGTTCTTGTGCTGGTTCTTTCTCACCTTTGTGGGCTAATGTTTCCTTTAATCTTAGAAGTTGCTGTGCTTTGGTTGAGTTTTTTCTCTTTTATCCTATTTGATGTCCTTGGGAGTTTGGTTGTGGTATAAGGTGGGTTCTGTCAGCTGGCTTCATTTCTGAAAGATTTTCAGGGCCAAAGGCTCAGCTCAGGATTCCTGAATTGCATGCTCTAACTCTTAGGAGTGGGTATCATGCCCCTGGCTTTTTTCTCTGGCCCCTTGAGGTTTGGAACCTGCTGCACTAGAGAGGCCAAAGTGTTCTCAGAATGCTGGTGACAACACTCTGATGGGTGATGTCAGCCAGAGTGCTTTGTAGGGTGGCGGTACCTGGATCTGTCCTCATTTGCACATGCCAACAACAGAGGCAGCACAGCAGGGTGCATGCTCCTCAGCTGTGTCAAGAGTCCTGGTGGGTTCAGGGGTGCCATCCTCCATGAAGGTGTTTTCAGGGGTGGTGGTTGAAGTATTTTGTAGGGGGGCAGGATGTCCCACTGGAGTCTCTATGCACATTTGCACTGATGGTGGTGTTAGTTTGGGGTTGACATGCTGGTAGGCATGGGACTATGAGTGCCCTTTGAGCATGTTTTTACACGGGTGATGGTGCCTGCTCAGAGTAGGGGTGGGTCTGATGGTCTCCGTGCATAGTTTCTCACCAACAAAAGTGTTTGTGTAGGGCCAAGGTGCTGGCAGGTGCTTGACCAGAGTCCTCTTTGTGCACGTTCATGCAGGCAGCAGTAGCCGCACAGTGCATGGGTGGGGACATTGGCCTGCATGCCTAGTTTTGTGCAAGCAGCAGTGTCAGTATGGGGGTGGGGAGCTGGTGGGTGTGTGGCTGGCAGTTTCCATGCCCTTGGACACTCTGATGGCAATGGCAGCATGGCGGGGGGCACGGTGCACTCACACTGGCAGCAGGGGCATGGTAGGGTGCATGTGCACATGCATGCTGGTGGTGAAGGAGGGGGAAAGTTTCACCCCCCTACACACAGACACCAGCTAAGCAGTGTAGGAGGTGGCCGTGGGCAAGTGTGTGTAGGTAAAGTGGCATGGGGGATGGTGTGGTGGGGTGATGGCATGGGTGGGCTGGTATGTGCCCATGGGGGCCACTCTGCTGGAGCTCTTCGCCAGTCATGCACAGTTTGCCAGTGCAGGAACTATGATGTGGGCCTCTAAGAGTCACCCCACCTGGGCATCCAAGGATCCATTGCAAGCACATGTGGCCAGGCTGGGGCCCCAGGAGAGGCCAGCAGAGCAAGGGGTGCTCAGGTTGAACTGGCACCATCTCATGGGCAAGACTGCCCTGCACTGTTCAGGTCCAACAGTTCCCATAGGGCTAAAGTCTCCTAGGGGAGCAATGTAAGGTTTGGGGGGTGGGCATCCCTGGCAGTGCTCCTCATAGATGCTCTCTCACCAAACCCTCAGAGCTCTGCACCAGCCAGAGTTCTGCCCCTGCCACTTCTCTAAGCAGTTCTCACTGCCAGCTGAAGTGTCCATGAAGGTCGTGGGGTCTCCTGCTGCCAGTAATCCAGAGGCCTATGGCGAGAAAAAGTTGCTCCTTGCCTGCTCAATTCACCCCTTCCCCAGGAGTCACTGGGTACCAGGAATGAGTCCTGGTGTGCAGTAACCCCGTTCAGGGTTCCCAGCTTCCTCCCCTTTCAGCCCAGGATCTGTGTCTTCCCTCCACCCACTTTCAGTGTCTTCCTCTGAAGATCTGCTAGGAGTGCACCAGTCTTCCCAATGTCCTAGTCCCTTGGTGCTAGATGTTCCTCCTGGCTGAGTCTAGTTGGCTATCTCTATCAAGTTTTAAAATTAACCTTGGAGTGATGGAAAAAACTTAAAAAATAAAATACAATTAGGATGTGGGTCCTCCAACTTTGTTCTTTTTCAAGATTGTTTTGGCTATTCTGTGTCCCTTGCAATTCCATGTATATTTTAGGATTAGCTTTTCCGTACTGAAAAAAAAAGTCGTTGGAATTTTGATAAGCACTGTATTAAGTCTGTGGATCAATCTGTAGAATATTACCAGCTTAACAATGTTAATACTTCCAATCCACGAATATGAGTTTTTGAAATTTTGTTATTAAAAACTTTTTTTAAAGAGACAGTCTCACTCTGTTGCCCGGGCTGGAGTGCAGTGGTGCGATCATAGCTCACTGCAGCTTTGAACTCCTGGGCTCAAGTGATCCTCCTGCCTCAGCCTCCTGAGTACCTGGGACTATAGGCACATGCTACCACACCCAGGTAAATGAGTTTTTAATACATGTTTTGATAATGAGTAAATTTAATTATCTGAGTATTACAAATGAGAAGTCTGAGACGAATTATTGATCAAAAGCTCAACTGTTATATCCCTGTTTCTAGCAATACAGTGGTCTAGGACTGATTAGATATCTTGACAAACTTTCTTGTTGAAAACTAATAATAATGGATAGATGCATCAGTGAGTTCAAAATATATTAAGAAATAATAATAGAAAGAGGCCGAGTTGGTGGCTCACTCCTGTAATCCCAGCACTTTGGAAGGCCAAGGCAGGTGGATCACTTGAGGCCAGGAGTTCAAGACCAGCCTGGCCAACATGGCAAAGCCTTGTTTCTACTAAAAATACACAAATTAGCTGGGCACAGTGGCACGTGCTTATAATCCCAGCCACTCGGGAGGCTGAGGCATGAGAATCACTTGAACTTGGGAGGTGGAGGTTGCACTGAGCCGAGATCGTGCCACTGCACTCCAGCCTGGGTGACAAAGTGAGACTCTTTCTCAAAAAAAGATAATAATAATAATAATAATAAAAGTGATGAATGAAACTAAGGGAGGAAAGTAAAATACTGATCTAGCTTTTGCAATGAGAGAATTTGCTGTTTCTAGTAAATCGGGCTTCGTTTTTTGCAATCCGTTGGGATGTTAGGGGATGAGAGAAAAAGTGAAGTGACCCATTGTAGATTTGAGATTCCACTGGTGATACCTTCAAGAACAGTGAATTAGAAATACACCCACCTCCCTCCCCACTCACTGAACAGGGGAAATTGTCTGAAATATTGGCACAAGGTGAAAAAGAAAAAATAATCCTCCTTAAGACTTCTTAAGCAAAGGCCAGCAACCACCTCCAAATTTACAATACTTAATCATTTAAAGTACCTGAAACCAAGAATTTTGGTTTGCGGTGGCAAACACAAATTTCTCTGGAGAAACCCGCTTCATCCTATGACTTAAAGAATCAACACAGATTAAGCTCCAAGAATTATGAATTCACAGTTAAAAGTTACAAAACATTTAAATACACAAGACAACATGAATAAAAGTTATCAGAAAATACAGGCAACAGAATCATATTCGTGAGGATTTTAGATATTAGAATGATCAAACACAGAATTTGAAATGATAATATTTACAATGTTTAAAAAATAAAACAATTGAAATATGAATAAAGATCTAGGGAGTATAAGACATATTCAAGATGTTTCCAAAAGTAATCCAAAAAATTTCCAGAAATAAAACTGCAATAATTAAAACATATATCAGACATAAGACTTGTATCCTATATAAACACTTCTAAAACTAGATAATAAATGGGAAATATCCTCCAATAATGAATGGACAAGAAACTTAACAGATGCTCTATAGAAGCCCAATAAGACATGAAAAAGTGATCAAAATAATTAGTCTTCAGAGAAAAGCAAATGAAAAACATAATGAGATATGAATTAATATACACTAGACTGGCTAAAATTGAAAAGACTAAAAATACCAAGTACTGGAAAGGAGCTGGAGCCACCAAAACCTTCACACATTTCTGATTGGAATGTTAGATGGTTCAAGAACTTTGAAGTGAATTTTGGCAGTTTCTTATAAAGGCAAGCATAAACCTACTTTGATCCAGCAATTGCACTCCTAGGTATTTATCAAAAAGAAATGACAACAAAAAATATGTCCACTAAAAGTTTTAGAAGACTGCTTACAGCAGCTTCATTCATAATAGCTCCAAATTGGAAACACATCAAATGTTTATCAACAGGAGAATGCATAAACTGCATAAAAAAATTGTGGTATATTCACACAATAAAATACTACCCAGCTATAGAAGGGACTGAATTACTGATATTTAAACAATATGGAGGCATCTCCCAGACGTTATGTTGAGTGAAAGAAGCTAGACATACTGTATTATACCATTTTATATGGAGTTCTAAAGCTGCCAGTGAGAGACTGGAAAGTAGCATAAGGAAGATTTCTGGGGATATGAAAATGTCAAATAGCTCGATAGGGGTATAAGTTGCATGGTATTTTCCAAAAGTATGCAATTAAGATTAGTGTAATTCAGTGCAGGTACATTTTACTTTAAAATATCTATGAAAGTAATAATCAAATTGAGGGTGGGGCAGGGAGCCAGTATAGATAAAACAAGAATGGCAGAAGTATCAAAGTTGTTATAGCTGGGTGATAAGTTTATGGGCATCCATTTTACTATTTTGTTTACTTTGTACACATTTAAAATTTTTCATAATAAAAAGCTTTACAATTTTATTAGAACTGGTAGCACTTTTGATAGAGAAAAATTGATAAACTAGAAGATAAACCTGAAGAAATGATAAAAATGCAGAACATATGCACATATGTTCTATCATATATGCAGATAGGTGAGCACCCAGTATGTGGTTTTTAGTTTATATCACTGAAAGAGGAACTGAAGAGTGTAGGAAAGACAGTCTGGAATCACCAATGCCACCCCAACCCCATCCCCCAGCAGCAGCTCTGTGGCACGAAGAGAGAATCTCTGCACTTGGGAGAAGGAGAGCGCAGTGACTATGAGATTGTATTGAACCTAGTGGTGCCCTATCACAGCAGAAAGCAAAACAGGGCTAAACTCAGCCCTAGCCTGTCCACAGAAGAAGCATATAGGCCAGCCCTGCCTTGAGGGGATTCACACATCCCAGTGATCAGAACTGGATTTACAGCAAACCTCACCACCATGGGCTAAAGTGCTCTGGGGCTCTAAATAAACTTGAAAGGCAGTCTGTGCCACAAGGACTGCAACTCCTAGGCAAGTCCTAGTGCTGAGCTAGGCTTATAGCCAGAGGACACGGTGGGCATGCAACATACTGATACACAAGCCAGGGAGGCTAAGAAAGTGCTTGCACCAGCTGTCCGCAAACCCCAGGCTGCACAGCTTGTGGCTCCAAAAGAGACCCCTTCCTTCCACTTGAGGAGAGAAGGAAGAGTAAAGATGACTTTGTCTTGCATCTTAGATATCCAAGTAGGGTAAGCCATCAGTCAGAGTCATGAGGCCCCCATTCGAAGCCCTAGCTCCTGGATATATCTAGATATATCCTGGGACAGAAGGGAACATGATGCTTTGAAGGGAAAGACCCAGTCCTGGCAGGACTCATCACCTGTTGACTAAAGAGCCCTTGGTCACTGAATAATCAGCAGCAATACTCAGATAGTACACTGTGGGCCTTCGGTGAGACTCTGAGACTTGCTTGCTGCAGGGGAGACTCAGCACATTCCCAGCTGTGGTAACTACAGGGAAAGACTCCTTCTGGTTGAGAAAAACAGAGGGAAAATAAAGGGGACTTTGTCTTGCACTGCAGGTACCAGCTCAGCCACAGGGGTGTAGAGCACCAAGTGGGCTCTTGGGGTCCGCAATTCTTTAAAAAAAATTTTTTTTTATTATTATACTTTAAGTTCTGAGATACATGGGCAGAATGTGCAGGTTTGTTACATAGGTATACACGTGCCATAATGGTTTGCTGCACCCTTCAACCCGTCACCAACAGTGTAAAAGCGTTCCTATTTCTCCACATCCTCCCCAGCATCTGTTGTTTTCATCTGCATTTCTCTAGTGACCAGTGATGATTAGCTTTTTGTCATGTTTGTTGGCTGCATAAATGTCTTCTTTTGAGAAGTGTCTGTTCATATCTTTCCACCTCCCAAACTTGTTTCTCCTCTTTATTCCCTACTTTTACTAATGGTGGTTCAACCAGTCACTCAGATGAAATTCCTTGTTTTCTTCTTTTCCCTTACCAGCAACACTAACTTTCCTATTGCGTTCTTTCTGCTTCCACAGTATCTTTATGATCTAGTTCCTTTCTTCCATCTCCACTGCTATTGTCCTAGGCCCGATAATCATTATCTCTCATCTGGACTTTTGTAATAGCTTCTTCCTGCTTCTAGTCTTGTTATCCTGTGCTACAAGGTACATATTGCTGTCAGAATTATTCTTTTTTGGCTGGGCATGGTGGCTCTTGCCTGTAATCCCAGCACTTTGGGAGGCCAAGACGAGAGGAGCACTTGAGGTCTGGAGTTTGAGACCAGCCTGGCCAACATGGTGAAACCTGGTCTCTACCAAAAAATGCAAAAGTTAGCCAGGCATGGTGGTGGAGACTGTAGTCCCAGCTACTCAGGAGACTGAGGCATGAGAATCACTTGAACCCAAGAGCCGGAGATTGCAGTGAGCCAAGATTGCGTCACCGCACCCCAGCCTTGGCAACAGAGTGAGACCCTGTCTCAAAAAGAAAATTATTCTTTATAAACAGAGTTTGAGTCACATCATTCTTTTTTTTTTCTTCCAAAACTCTGCATATAGGCCAGGAGCATTGGCTTATGCCTGTAATCGCAGCACTTTGGGAGGCTGAGGCGGGCGGATTGCCAGAGCCCAGCCTAGAAAACATAGTGAGTTCCTGTCTCTACAATAGATAAAAAACAAAAAAATTAGCCAGATGTGGTGGCTAATGCCTGTAGTTCTAGCTACTCAGCAGGCACTGAGGTGGGAGGATTGCTTGAGCCTGGGAGATCAAGGCTGCAGTGAGCTATGATCATTCCGCTGCACTCCAGCCTGGGTGAAATAGTGAGACCCTGTTTCACAAACAAAACAAACAAACAAAAAACCAATCTGCCTATAGATTTAAGTCCAAATATTTAACATGCTTTTCAAGTGTTCCATGATCTGGCCTTGCTCGAGTCATCATCTACAAGATCCTCCACTTATCCTAAATTCCTGTAATTTCTATTTGGAGCTAGGTCAGTCCATTTCACATCTTCTGACCTTTGTCTCCTGCAGTTCTTAAGCCTGTAATGTCTTTGCATTTGTTCTCTCAGTCACTAAAATGCTTACCCTTTAGAACCCAACTAAAATATCAGCTTTTTAATAAAGTCAATCCTATTTGCTTCACTAGAAAGTAATTTGTTCCTCTCTTTCTGCTCCCCTAGCAGACTACTTGGACTTCTTTTATGGCACCTGTTTCAAAATTCCTTATATCATAATTATTTGTGTTTATGACTGTGAACTTCAATAAACTGCAAGTTTCTTGAAGACAGAAATAGTGTTGTATTGACTGCTGTATTCCTGGAGGTATCATAGTGCCTGGAACATTGAGGATGCTCAAGGAAAGTGGAAAGTGGAATCTCTGTTGCCCATCTTCAGGATCTACCACCAGAAAATATACCATATCGTTGACTTTGTTTATAAGTGGAAAGTCATAACCAGAGCACTCTATGAATATTGTATTAAAGAAGGCTATGCAGGAAAAAACCTAATCACAATATGGAAAAAGCAAGGCTATGAGAACTTGTGCTGGCTGCTGTGCCTTCAGACATGGAACACCAATTTTGGGACAAACTGCAATTGCTGTGTTCCTAAAACAAAGATAGAAGTGGGCTGCATCATTGAGTGCATGCACTGTGGCTGCCAGGGCTGCTCTAGCTGAGGTCCTTGGGCCCTGACCCCTCTCCACCCTGGACTCTGGACTTTGCACGTTCCTGCCTGTTGTCGTCCCATTTCCTGGGAACAACTCTTCTCCTAGAGCAATGCCCTAGGCCTTAGTTGGAGCATGGTCTCTATAGGTGAAGGCTTTGCTCTCCATCAGCTGTGATTTGTAAAAATAAAAACTTTAAACCTCTTGGGGGGAAAACAACTGTTAAAAGAAGTTCTTCAGAAAAATGAAAATTATAGGTTAGGCACTTGGATTCACATAACAAAAGGAAGACCATGGGAAAATCAATAAGTGAAGGTAAAATTAAAACTTTTATTTTCTTACACTTAATCTAACAGTTAAGTTTGCTAAAAATAATATCAATATGTTCATATATATGTTTAAATATATATGTTTATATATAAGTGAAATGAATGACAGCAATTATAGAAGGGAAGGGAGGGAGATACTAAGATTCTTTTATTATTATAAGGAACTCACACTATCCATGAAGTGGTACAGTGTTACTTGACAGTGAACTTGTGCCCGGCGTGCTGGCTCATGCCTGTAATTCTAGCACTTTGGGAGTCTAAGGCAAGAGGATCCCTTTAGCCCAGGATTTGGAGACACAGCCTGGACAGCATAGAGGGACCCTGTCTCTATTTTAAAAAAGAAAAGAAAATGAACTTGGATTAGTTTTAAATCTATATTGCAAACTCAATTGAATAAATAAAAAAGGAGAAAAAAATAATTATAACTGATATGTTTTATGTCAGAGAAAATGGAATCATGTAAAATTCTCAGTTAAAACCACAAGATGCAAAAGAACATGGAAGATAAAAATAGAAGCAAAAAACAAGGGCAACAAATAGAAAACAGCAGCAAACATTGTAGATATTAGCCCAATCATATCAATAATCACTTTAAGTGGTCACTTTGGCAGCACATATACTAAAATTGGAAAGATACAGAGAAGATTAGCATGTCCATTGTGCAAGGATGACATGCAAATTTGTGAAGCATTCCATATTTTCATGGAAAGGAAAAACTGGTACCAGCCACTGAAAAAACACATTAAAGTACAAAGACCAATGACACTATGAAGAGACTGTATCAACTAGTTTGCAAAATAACCAGCTAGCATCATGATGACAGGATCAAATTTACACATAACAATAACCTTAAATGTAAATGGACTGAATGCCCCAATTAAAAGACTCAGACTGGCAAACTGGATAAAAAGTCAAGACCCATCAGTGTACTGTATTCAAGAGACCCATCTCACATGCAAAGACACATAGCCTCAAAATAAAGGGATGAAGAAAAATTAACCAAGCAAATGGAAAGCAGAAAAAAGCAGGGGTTGCAATCCTAGTTTCTGACAAAACAGACTTTAAACCAACAAAGATCAAAAAAGACAAAGAAGGGCCTTACATAATGGTAAAGGAATCAATTCAGCAAGAAGAGCTGACAATCCTAAATATATAAACACCCAATACAGGAGCACCCAGATTCATAAAACAAGTTCTTAGAGACCTACAAAGAGACTCAGACTCCCATACAATAATAGTCGGAGACTTTAACACCCCATTGTCAATATTAGACAGATCAATGAGACAGAAAATTAACAAGGATATTCAGGACTTGAACTCAGCTCTGGATCAGGTGGACCATGTTAGGGTTTGAAGAGAAGGCAAGGGTTAAAGACACACACACACACACACACACACACACACACACTCACACACACACACACACACACACACACGGTAGCTTAACAGCAAATGCAGGCTTTATGTCCAGCGTAAGGCCTACAGAAGTGGGAGACCAGCTTAATGCCAGTGCCACCACTGTTTACAGGCTTGGACAATTTATAGGCCTGGATGGGCAGGGTCTGGGGGGGCATGGGCTGCTGCCTGGAAAATGTTGATAATGTGTTCCCATGATGAGGCTGTTCTGGCCCTTGTTCTGTTGGAATGTGGTGTTTCTTGCACTTTTTCCCAGCAGAATATGATAAGAGGCAGGCTGTTTCTCATGGCCCAAATATCCAGTGGGATGTTTCACTTTGACCAAGGTCTGCAAAATGGTGGGGGGACTTACAAAATGGTGCAGTTTGGACTAATATTCTTGCCTTCTATTTTAATATAAAAGGAAGAGGGGTGTTGTTGATTATCTGGTTGCTTCCTGCTGAATAGGGGCCCTGTAATCAGGGTTTGGGTTTTTAAGCAGTGGGTGTCCGACTTCAGAGTTGTTTTCCTGGAGGCACTGATACTGGACTTGGTGGAGAAGGATGGTATCAATGTGTTTCTGGGTGGTTGCCTGGACAAGGGAGTTCAGCCTTCGGGAGATAAAGCAGGATATGAAGATGAGTATACATGGGCCAATTATTAGTATTAGGAGGAGGAAGATTAGGGACCCTAAGAAAGGGGCAACCTGCTATCCCGGTGCTGAGTGCAGCAGAGATGTTTAGTTCTGCTAACAGGGGAATTAAGTGTACAGGCTGTTGGGTATATGTGGAGGAGGAGGAAATAGGGATTACTAAAGGAACCTGAATGGTTTGGTTGTTAGGCAAAATGTTAATGTTTGGAGATTAAAACACCAGAGTGTATGTTCTTAACTCACCTGCCAGCAGGCAAAGATAAGCTTTTTTGCCACACAGGAAAAAAGACCAGGGGTTGACAGGCAAGAGTTGTAAGTGAAGGCAGTGAGCCATGAGAAGATGGGGGTTGAATCCTGGACAAACTTTTTGTCCCAACTTTTTTGTTTTTCTAGGTTGAATAGCTGTTAACAAGGGTAACCCCTGTGAGGGCCTGATAGGGAATGTTGGTGGGGGTGGAGGTGAAGGTTGTTTGGTTTTGGAGAGAGATAGAGAAATGGATTTTTGTTAACTAATAGCCATTGCGGTTCTGATAGGGCAGAAGGATATAGGTTGCAGTTGAGAGAACTGTTTGTGCATTTTTTCCAAGGAGAGCCCTTGATTTGGCTACACGGAGAGCTGCGCCAGCAGAGAGGGGAGGGGTTAGTAAGAGGTGTTTAACAGTTGGAAGAAAGAGGGGAGTGTGACTGATTTAAGAGGCAATGTGTGAGGTTGACGAAGGGGGTCCAGCTCTCAGAGGTTGTGGGTGGGGACTTAGAGTATCCCACGGACAAAGAGGACACAAGGAGAAAAAGGAGATTTGAGTAGGAGTGAAATTTTGGAAGGTGTCCTGCAGCCATAGATCCTGGATTAATGTGAAGAATGTGTGTGGACTGCCTAGGGATGTGGGGAGGGAATACCAGGAAAGATCTGAAACAAGGTATAAGAGAAGATTTGGGCCGGGCGCGGTGGCTCACGCCTGTAATCCCAGCACTTTGGGAGGCCGAGGCGGGTGGATCATGAGGTCAGGAGATCGAGACCATCCTGGCTAACAAGGTGAAACCCCGTCTCTACTAAAAATACAAAAAATTAGCCGGGCGCGGTGGCGGGCGCCTGTAGTCCCGGCTACTCGGGAGGCTGAGGCAGGAGAATGGCGTGAACCCGGGAAGCGGAACTTGCAGTGAGCCGAGATTGCGCCACTGCAGTCTGCAGTCCGCAGTCCGGCCTGGGCGACAGAGCGAGACTCCGTCTCAAAAAAAAAAAAAAAAAAAAAAAAAAAAAAGAGAAGATTTGAAATTAGAGGCAGAGAGTGTTATGGACCAGGGCCTTCTGGATTGGCAACTTCTGGAACTCTTGTTAAGCACAATGAGGTTGGTCCTGTGAAGAAGGAAGAATATTTTGGGGGTGAGAAAATTTCTGGATGTGGATCTTGTGCTCTTTTTAGCTTGGAATGGTGTATCCAGTGTGGAAGGGACATTAGCTTTTGCCACTGTGGGAGTAGTTAAGATAACCTGGTTAGGACCCATCCATTTAGGTTGGAGAGGTTAGGAGGAGCAGCCTGCAATCCAGATGCAGCTCTCTGGTTGTAGGGACAGGGAGGAGTGTTTGGAGGATGGACTTTTAGACTGGGGCAAGTAAGCATTTGCGTGCTGTCTTATTAGATGTTGAGTGAGGTGTAATGCCAGCCAAGTATCCTGTACATAAGGGGGAGCAGATACAGGGAGATTCTGGAGGATAAAATGGCATTTGTACATGAGTTTAAATGGGCTTAGGCTGAGGGGCTTTTGGGGAATGGCTCGCAAACGCATGAGGGCCAATGGGAGAAGTGAAGTCCAGACCATGTTAACCTCTAAGGAGAGTTTGGTTAGTTGTTGTTTTAAAAGGGCATTGGCCCATTTAATTTTACCTAAAGATTGGGTGGAGTAAGGAATATGAAAAGCTCATTTAATGTTTACAGCCTTTGCCAGCTGTTGGTTAACCTGTGAAACAAATGTTGACCCGTTGTCTACTGGATGGAAGAGGGGAGTTTAAACTGGGGGATAATATGGGGTGAGGAGAATAGAAGTGACAGTGTGTGCCTTTTCGGTGGTGGTAGGGAAAGCTTCTATCCATCCAGAGAATGTATCTACTATTGTTAGAAGGTACCAAACTTGTTTTACGGGGTGCATGTTGGTGAAGTCGATCTGCCAGTGCTGCCCTGCCAGGTGCCCTCGGGCCTGATGTGTGGGGAAAGGAGGTCATTTGATAATTTCCTGAGGGTAAGTTTGAGTGCAAAGGGGACATGCCTTAGTAATATCTTTGAGATTGGCAGCCATGGTGGGAGAATCTATACAAGTTTTTAAGAGCTGGAGTAGGGGCCAATAACCGGCATAAAAATGGTTGTGCACATATGAAAGTACAGAAGGTTTCTGGGACTTGTGAAAAAATTTTATCATTGAGGTAGAACTATTTTCCTTCCTGAACCGTGCCAGCCTGGGTGAGTGAGGTTTGTTTTGCCTGGGTATATACAGGGAGTATGCTGGGAAAAATGGGCAATAATGATTTTTTTTTTGAGATGGAGTCTTGCTCTGTTGCCCAGACTGGAGTGCAGTGGCATGATTTTGGCTCACTGCAACCTCCACCTCCTGGGTTCATGCCATTCTCCTGTCTCAGCCTCCCACGTAGCTGGGACTACAGGTGCCCACCACCATGCCTGGCTAATTTTTTGTATTTTTAGTAGAGATGGGGTTTCACCGTGTTAGCTAGGATGGTCTCGATCTCCTGACCTCGTGATCTGCCCGCCTTGGCCTCCCAAAGTGTTGAGATTACAGGCGTGAGCCACCACACTTGGCCAATGATGGGGTTTTAAGAGCTGCCTGCTGGGCTGCCAAATTTGCTAAAACCTTTTCCTTGGTTATGGCATTTGTAGCCTTTTGGTATCCCTTACAATGGATAATGGCAGCCTGTAGTTGTAGTTTAGCTGCCTCCAGCAGCCTGTGTATGAGTTTGCCATTTTCTATGGGTGTTCCTTTTGTAGTTAGAAAACCCCTTTCCTGTCAGATTAAGGTGTGAGAGTGTAGGATGTGAAATGCTTATTTGGAATTGATGTAAATGTTAACACTCCCTTTAGTAGGATGAGGGACCTGGTTAGGGCAACTATCTTTGCCTGTTTACAGGTAGTTCTGCCTGTTGAGAGGTAATTCTGCCTGTTGAGAGGTATTATGGGGTGAAAGAGCATTGGATTCTTGGAGTTTATTTTCAGCAATGATAGTATAGCCATGGCTCCCTAAAAGAGCTTCCATTAATGAACCATGTAGGTGTTTCCCTGCAAAGGAGCTTCCGAGTTGTTTTGGAAGTGGGAGGAAAGGGAGTTCAAGAGGTTCAGGCAGGAGCAATAGAGCTCAGAGCTGGAAGTGTTTACAGGTAGGAGGGTGGCTAGCTTGAGAGCTTTACATCTCTGGAAGGTGATTAGAGGGTTTCCTATGAATAAGGCATGCACCTGCTGTAAACGGGATGATGGGAGGTATAGAAGAGATTGGTAGCTTATGAAGTTCTGCAAGTTATGGGAAGATGCCATAGTAATGTGTTGGTAGAGAGTGAGTTTCTGTGCCTCTGAGGCCAGCAATGTGACCGCACCCAATATTTTTAGGCAGGGTGGCCAGCCTTGGATGACAAAGTCCAGTTGTTTTGAGAGGTATGCAGTGGCTTGTGGGGCATTGCCATATGTTTGGCAGAGTAGTCCAAGAGCAAGGCCTCTGTCACAATGTATATACAGAGGAAAGAGCTTGGTGTGGTTGGGCAGTCTCAGTACTGGGACCATTTTAGGCACTTTTTCATTTTTTAAAGTGAGAGTTGATGGGGCAAGCTAGGTTCAGGGGTTCTAGGATGGGCCCATGTGAGGCCATGTAGAGCAGCTTGGTCAGCAAGTTGAAGTTGGAAATCCACAGTCAGAAGTATCCCACAAGGCCCAAGAAGGAGAGGAGGTCCTTTGAAGGGGCATGTCCCAAATTAGCTCCTTGCATTGGGTTGGGATGGCTGGAGAGTTAGGGGTTAGGACAAGCCCAAGGTAAGTAATCTGGGTTTGGGCTACCTTGAGTCTTTGTGGGTGAGACCAAATATCCTCAGCTATGGAGGAAGTTTAAAAGCTAAGTGGTGTGTTGCATGGACAGATGGAGGGGCTACAGAGAAGGAGGTTATTGATTATTGGAGGAGGGTGCTAGGAGCAAGGGGAAGTTCAGCCTAGTCCTTGGTGAGGGCCTGTCCAAATAGGTGGGTGCTATCTCAGAACCCCTGTGGAAGTACAGTCCATATTAGTTGGATGGATGTTTGAGTATCAGGATCTGACTAAGTGAAACCAAAAAGACTTTGGGAAGCTAGATTTAAGGGAATAGTGAAAAAGGCATCATTTAAATCCAATATAGAGAAGTGTGTGGTAGATGGGGGAATATGGGAGAGTAGAGCATATGGCTTGGGGACCACCAGATGGATTGGCACCACCACCTGGTTTACAACTCAGAGATCCTGGATAAAGTGGTAAGACCCATCTGTCTTTTTGACAGCCACGATAGGGGTGTTGTGGGAAGAGTTTACAGGCTTGAGAATTTGAGCTTGTAAAAGTTTACAGGTAATAGGTTTGAGGCCCCTGAGGCTGGCTGGGTTAAGGGGATATTGAGACTGATGAAGAAAAATGGAGGGGTTTTGGAGGGTTATTTTAACTGGGATGTGATGTGTGGCTATTGTGGGTTTAGAAACATTCCAAACTTCAGGATTAACAGAAAGTAACAGAGTGGATAATGAGGATGAGGGGGAGGAGAGGGAAGCATCTGGGCTGCAGAGTAAAATAAAATGGGTAGAATTGCCGGAGGCAAATTGTATGGAGGCGTGGAATTTACTTAATCTGTCCTGCCTCAAGATAGGAGTAGGGCACTGAGGATTAACCAGGAAGGAGTAGGTAAAGGGAGTGTTAAATAGGTTGCATAATAGAGGACCAGTCTATTTGTGCCTAGAGGGGAGTTTATCAATTCCCATAATAGAGATAGAAGAACTAAGAGGGGTTCCAGAATATTCTGGTAAAACCGAGTAACTAGCCCCCATATCTAATAGGAAAGATATGGGCTTACCAGAGACCGACAGCATTACCCTGGGTTCCGAGGTGGTAGTGGTGATGGGCCAATGGATTCCAGGCCCTGTCAGTCTTCAGTTAGAGGTGATGAAGCGGGAGGAAGAGTTTGGCTGAGCACAGTCCGACTTCCGGTGTTGTTTCTTTTTTTCTTTTTTTTTGAGACAGAGTTTCGCTCTTGTCGCCCAGGCTGGTGTGCAATGGCATGATCTCAGCTCACTGCAACTTCTGCCTCCTGGGTTCAAGTGATTCTCCTGCCTCAGCCTCCCAAGTAGCTGGGATACAGGCATCCGCCACCATGCCCAGCTAATTTTTGTATTTTTATTAGAGACGGGGTTTCACCATGTTGGCCAGACTGGTCTCAAATTCCTGACCTCAGGTGATCCACCTGCCTTGGCCTCCCAAAGTGCTGGAATTACAGGCATGAGCTACTGTTCCTGGCCCAGTGTTTCTTGATACCACAGATAGGGTAAGGTTTTGAGGGTGGCCTGGGATTAGGGCAGGCTTTTGCCCAGTGATCCTGTTGGCCACACTAAAAACAGGCTTCTGGCAGTGACTGTTGCAAAGTTGAGGACTTCTGTATGCATTGGGAACCCTGTTGAATGACAGCTGCCAGCATCTGGTATTTAGCCTGGTCTCTTTTTAGTTTTTGGGTTTTTAGTTCTTCCTCTCTATTGTTAAAGACCTTAAAGGCCACTTTGATTAAGTCTCTTTGGGAGGTTTGAGGGCTATTCTCCAATTTTAAAAATTTCTTTCGGATGTGTGGGGCTGACTGGGAGATGAAGTATAAATGAAGGTAGATTCTGCCCTTATTGGTATTAGGGCTTAAGGTGGTATATTTAGTCATGGCCTTTGAAAGGGAGGAGAGGAAAAGAGCAGGGGCAGCTTTATTTATGACAGCTAGGAGGCTTGATATTATATGGCCTTGTTGCTGTCTCTGCAGAAGTTGCCTGATAATCCCAATTGGGGTTAGTTTTGGGGACAGCCAGGATCCCTATTGGGTTATGAGCAACATCTTGTTGGTAGAGGTTGTTTGCATGGGCCTGGGCATTCATCCAGATGTGTCCCCTGTCCTCCAGGGTGAGGGTGGAGGAGAGGATTACATATATGTCATGCCAGGTAAGGTTATAAGATTGAGTGACATACAGAAATTCCTTGTGGAAAGATGTGAGATCCTTGGAAAAGGAGCCAATTATCTTTTTAAGATGGGAGAGGATGGCTAGGGAGAAGGGAACATGAGCTCAGATTATGCCTTTGACCCTTGCCACCTCCTGCAAGGAAAGGACTTTGGAAGGCCTTTGGATGTGTGCCTGGTTTTCAGGAAAAGGGGGTTGGGTGTGAGAGCTGATTTGCAGTGGAGAAGGAAAGGGGGACGGAGGGCAAAAGTAAGGGGGTGGAGGAGCCGCAGCCAAAGGAGAATAAGGAGGGGATGGTGGTGGGAGGGGGACCGAGGGAGGGGGATTGTTTGCCAGGTTGAAATTAGAGGAGGGATTGTCCAAAGGAGGAGGCATTTTTGCGGGTTTTTTGTTGAGGAGGAGGATTTGAAAAGGTGAACATGATTGGTAGAGAGAGAGAGCTGCAAACAGAGATAAGCAAAGCATCTCACGTCATTTACCATTGCGTTGGAGGAAGTTTTTTAGATTATGTTGAATTTGGAAATTGAATGTTTTGTTTTTTGGCCATTGACTATTGTTGTCCAGGTTACACTAGGGCTAGGCAATATAAGAGAGGAAAGTAAGGCGTTCTGTTTTAATGGAGTCCACCAAGCCCTGGGCTTGGAGGATCCAGATGAGACATTTGGGAGGAGTGAATAAGGTATTCAGTTTTAATGGAGTCCACTAAGCCCTGGGCTGGGAGGTTCCAGATGAGACACCCGAGAGTGGTGTCTTGAGGAGGTTTGAGGAGACTTGCCCCATACTGGTGGCTGGAAGGGTGAGAAATTTAGAAGAGGGGAGTGAGTACCCCAGAGGGGAGTGAATACTCCAAAGGAAAGTGAGTACCCTGGAGAGGAGTGAGTACCCGAATTCCTCCGGGAGAAGGAACATAGGATAGCTGAGCTGGAGCATCCCCACAGCTCTTTGCAGTCCCCCAGAGGCCGGAGTGGCTGGAGTGGTGAGCATTCAAGGGCACCCCTGAGAAGGCAGGCCGTGGTCACCTGGTGACAGAGGAGACCTCTCACCCAGAGTTGGGATTTTCTGGTGAACCATCAGAAATAGAGAGGAATTCGGAAAGGAGGAAAAGGGAGACTCACCCACTAATTGGAGATTGGTGTTGGATGTGATGTCCAGCAATGGGGGTGATCCTTGTCAGAGCCACCCAGAAAAGGGAAAGAAAGAAAAAGAGGATGGAGAGTTTGATCAGGATCTGGAGGTCAGCCCAGGGCTGGAGAAGATGAGAAAATGAGGGAAGCAGGGCTAGGAACAAGGAGTCCACTCAGGATCTGGAAGCAGTCCTGGGTCTAGTTTTTGCTGCTTGCTGCTTTCCAGGTTGCAAGAGAAGACTTACCTGTTTAGAACCCAATCCCCATCCCAGGTTTTGGCACCAAAATGTTAGGTTTTGAAGGGAAGTTGAGAGTTAAAGAAAGACACACACACAGAGAGAGGGCAGCTTAACTGCAATACCAGTATATCGCAAAAACCTGTTAAGGTGGGGGACCAGCTTAATGCCAGAGCCCACCGTGGCTTATAGGCTTGGGCAATTCATAGGTCTGAGTGGGAGGGGACTGTGGGGGCATGGCTTGCTGCCTGGAAAAATGTTGATAACCTGTTCATAGGATGAGGTGGTTCTGGCCCTTGTTCTGGCAGAATGTGGTGTTCCTTGCACTTTCTCTCAGCAGAATATGATAAGAAGCAGGCTGTTTCTCATAGCCCAAACTACCATGGAATGTTTCACTTTGATCAAGATCTGCAAAATGGCAGGCGGCTTACAAAATGATGCAATTTGGACTAACAAACCTGCTAGATATCTACAGAACTCTTTATCCAAAAACCACAGAATATACATTCTTATCAGTGCCGCATGGCACTTACTCTAAAATCGATCACATAATTGGAAGTAAAACACTCCTCAGCTAATGCAAAGGAACTGAAATAATAATAAACAGTCTCTCAGACCACAGGGCAATCAAATTATAACTCAAGATTAAGAAACTCACTCAAAACCACACAACTACATGAAAATTGAACAGCCTGCTCCTGAACTGGGTAAATAATGAAATAAAGGCAGAAATCAAGAAGTTCTTTGAAACAAATGAGAACAAAGAGACAACATACCAGCACTATTCACAATAGGGAAGACATGGAATCAACCCAAAGGCCCATCAATGATAGACTGGATAAAGAAAATGTGGTACATACACACCACGGAATACTATGTAGCCTTAAAAAAGAATGAGATCATGTCCTTTGCAGGGACATGGATGAAGCTGGAAGCCATTATCCTCAGCAAACTAACACAGGAACAGAAAACCAAACACTGCATATTCTCACTCATATGTGGGAGCTGAACAATAAGAACACATGGACACAGGGAGGGGAACAACACACACTGGGGCCTGTCAGGGGTGTGGGGGAGGGAGAACATCAGGGTAAATAGCTAATGTATGCAGGGCTTAATACTTAGGTGATGGGTTGTTAGGTGCAGCAAACCAGCATGGCACACATTTACCTATGTAACAAACATGCATATCCTGCACATGTATCATCTGACCTTAAAATAAAACAATATAAAATAAAAAATAAAGTAGTTGGCTAGGTTTACATTTTGCAATATAGACATTGCGGAATTTAGACATATAGGAAATCAAGATACTGGGCACATTCTTTGTAAAGTGAAATCAGAAAGTCTCTGGTTATAAAGAGTGAATGGGATTAAGCAGGTGTTTTATAGGCAGTCTCCTCACACTGAATTGCAGCTGTGTGCTATTTGGAATGCAGTCTGACTTAATAACTCACACATGCCAGTAACATACATGATAGAGCCAAAGTACTGTAGTTAAATAATGGATTTTATAAACATTAAATGGTCTTTTAGCATCTGAATTTATTGCGAGAGTCAAGTAAGGGGTTATATATGCGTGCATTTTGGTCTGAATCTTGAACTTCTGTTAAACATTGATATAAATGTGTCTCTTGAGACTGGTCTATAACAGATTTAAAAAAATGATTACTTTTTCTCAGGCTTTAAAAATCCTATTTTTGGCAACAGAATCTATGAGTTTTATTAAACAAAGTAAAAGTTTAGACCTTTACAAATAATCACTTTAAATGTTAATGGTCTAAATACACCAATTAAAAGACAGAAATTGTCAGAGGGAGTCAAGACGCAATGCCCAAACATATGTTTTCTACAAGGAATCCACGTTAAATATAAACACACATATAGATAAAAAGATAAATGGATGGAGAATGACATACCATGTTGATACTAATAAAAAGAAAGTGGTAGTAGCTGTATTAATTTAAGACAAAGCAGACTTCAGAGCAAAAAAAAAGTATCAGGATAAAGAGGTTTACTACATAATGATGAGGGCCAATTATACAACAGGGCTAACAATCCTTAATGTGTATGCACCTAACGATAGCATCAAAATACATGAGGCAAAAAATGATAAAACTGTAAAAGGGAATAGATACATTCACTATTATAGTTGGAGACTTTAACATGTCTTTTTCAGTAATGGACAGATTTGACAGGCAGAAAATTAATAAGGACCTAGAGGAAATCAATATCACCATTAATCAAATAGATTTAATTAACACCAATTAAAGGGCACTTCATCAAACAACAGTAGATTATACATTGTTCTCAAGCTCACACAAAACATTCGCCAAGACTGATGACATTCTGGGCCACAAAACACCTTAACAAATTTGTATGGATATGAATCATACAATGTCTGCTCTCAAACCACAATGGAATTAAATGAGAAGTTAATAACAGAAAGATAGCTGGAAAATCCCAAAATACTTGAAAATCAAACAACAGACTTCTAAATAACACACGAGCCAAAGAGACTCAATGTAAATGTTTATTGATAGATGAATGGATAAAGAAAATGTAGTATACACATACAATGAAATATTATTCAGACTTATGAAAGAAGGAAATCCTGCCATTTGTGAAATATGGATGAGTGTGGAGGATAATAGGCTAAGTGAAATTAGCCAAACACACAAGGACAAATACTACATAATACCACCTATGTGATGAATCTAAAATAGTCAAACTCATAGCAGCAGAGAGTGGAATAGTTGTTGAAGGGAACATGATGAGGTGGAATCAAAGTTATTAGACAAAGAATACAATTTTCAGTTACATAAGTTGAATAAGTCCTAGGGATATATTGTACAGCATAGAGCCTATGGTTAATAATACTGTATTGTGTACTTAAAATTTTAGCTAGGTGTGGTGGCTCATGCCTGTAATTTCAACACTTTGAGAGGCTGAGGCAGGAGGATCACTTGAGTCCAGCAGTTTGAGACCAGCCTGGGAAACATAGCAAGACCTTGGTTCTACAAAAAATAAAAAATAAATTAGCTCAGTGTGGCAGTGTGCACTTGCAGTTCCAGCTCCTCAGGAGACTGAGATGGGAGGATTGGTTGAACCCAGGAGTTCAAGGCTGCAGTGAGCCATGATTGTGCCACTGCCCTCAAGCCTGGGTGAAAGAGTAAGGCTTTGTCTCAAAAAAATTTGCCAAGAAGGTAGATCTTATATTAAGTATTCTCAACACACACACACACACACACACACACACACACACACACACACAAATAAGGCAGGAGAAAACTTTTGAAAGTGACAGGTAGTTTTATGGCATAGATTGTGCTGATAGTTTCATGAATGTATACTTATCTCCAAATAACATGGTTTTGTTTAAAGAAGATATCTTTTTTTTAGAAGAAGAAATCTTAATAGAAATTTAAAAATATTATGAGCTAATTGAAAATGAAATGACAGCTGATCCAAATTTGTGGCATGCAGTGAAAGCAGTGCTGAGAGGGAAATTTATAGTACTGCATGCACATATGAGAAAAGAAAAAAGACACAAAATCAATAATCTTAAGCTTACACCTTAAGAAACTAGAAAAAAGGAAGCAAATTAAATCCAAAGTTAGCAGAAGAAAAGAAATAATACAGATCACATCAGAAATCAATGAAATTGACAACAGGATATTAATAAAGAGAATCAGCAAAACGAAAAGCTGGTTCTTTGAAAAGATCAATAAAATTGATAAGCCTGTAGCCAGGCTAAGAAAGAAAGTGAGAAGACACAAATTAATAATATCAGAAATGAAAGAGGGGACATCACTAAAGATCCTATGGACATTAAAAGGGTAATAAAGAAATATTATGAACAACTCTATATTCATTATTTGATAACCTGGGTGACCCAATTTCTTAAAAGGCACAATCTAACAAAACTCATCCAAAATAAATATATAATTTGACTAGCCCTATATCCATTACAGATATTAAAATTACCTATTGGCTACTATGCTCACTCCCTGGTGACAGGATCCATACCACAAACCTCAGCTTCATGCAATATAACCATGTGACAAATCTGCACACGTACTTCCTGTATCTGAAATAAAAGTTGAAATTTAAAGAAATACTAAAAATAATTTTAAAATATATTAAATAAATATCAATAACCTCCCCAAACCAAAAGTACCAGGTCCAGTTACATTCACTGGGGAATTCTATAAACATTTAAGGAAGAAATAATACCAATTATTTGTAATATTTTTCAGAAGATAAAAGCAGAGATAATTTCTAATTCTTATTATAAAGCCAGCATTACCCTAATACCAAAATCAAAGACATTACAAGAAAAGAAAACTATAGACCAATATTTTTGATGAACATAAATGCAAAAATTCTCAATAAAACATTAACACATCAAATCTAACAATACAGAAAAATAATTATATGCCACAATCAAGTGGTAATTTTCCCAGGCATGCAAAGTTAGTTCAACATTTGAAAATCAATTAATGTAATAAATCAGTAAGCTAAAGAAGAAAAATCACATAATCATATTCAATAAGCACAGAAAAAAATATTTGACAAAATTCAACTCCCATGATAACCAGTCTCAGCAAATTCAGAATAGAAGGGAACTTCTTCAACTTCATAAGAATATGTACACCAAATGCACAGTTAACATCATACTTACCAGTGAGAAACAAGAACTTTTCCCTGTAAGATCAGGAACAAAGCAAGAATGGCTGGATAATTCTCTGAAGTCTACTCGTGGGTTGTGGTGCTGGTGGTAGCAGCCAGAAAATATAGAAGATAAAAGCATTAATTACATGAAATAGTATATTCTGTATTGCACAGGAGTATTTTTGGTTTTGAATGAAAGCTGTGCCCTGGAAAGGATAGCATTCATTTTTTAAGGTTTTGAGAAACACTGGATGACTAGTTTGGATATACATTTTGGCACATTCTGTTTGACCATCCAGCTGGAGAATAATATACTAAGCTTAAGCAAACTTTACCCTAGAGGAGAAGAAATAAGTAATTTTTTTCTTTTTTTGAGACGGAGTCTCGCTCTGTCTCCCAGGCTGGAGTGCAGCGGCGCAATCTCGGCTCACTGCAAGCTCCGCCTCCTGGGTTCACGCCATTCTCCTGCCTCAGCCTCTTGAGTAGCTGGGACTACAGGCGCCCGCCACCATGCCCGGCTAATTTTTTGTGTTTTTAGTAGAGACGGGGTTTCACCGTGTTAGCCAGGATGGTCTCGATCTCCTGACCTCATGATCCGCCTGCCTCGGCCTCCCAAAGTGCTGGGTTACAGGCGTGAGCCACTGCGCCTGGCCGAGAAATAAGTATTTTCAAAAAAAAGAATTAGGACATGGTGGCCTTGGTCTGAGAAGACCTGGTGTATGAGTCAGTGGAGCATTTTAGGGACATTGTTGTAGTCATGAGTGGAGTCTTGATGGGCAGGAAAAGTTAATTTTGGTTAAGGTATTGAGCAGCATAAAAAGAGTGTTGTTACGTAGCGTGATGCCTCCAGTTTTGTTCTTTTGGTTTAGGATTGACTTGGCGATGCGGGCTCTTTTTTGGTTCCATATGAACTTTAAAGTAGTTTTTTCCAATTCTGTGAAGAAAGTCATTGGTAGCTTGATGGGGATGGCATTGAATCTACAAATTACCTTGGGCAGTATGGCCATTTTCATGATATTGATTCTTCGTACCCATGAGCATGGAATGTTCTTCCATTTGTTTGTATCCTCTTTTATTTCCTTGAGCAGTGGTTTGTAGTTCTCCTTGAAGAGGTCCTTCACGTCCCTTGTAAGTTAGATTCCTAGTTATTTTATTCTCTTTGAAGCAATTGTGAATGGGAGTTCACTCCTGATTTGGCTCTCTGTTTGTCTGTTGTTGGTGTATAAGAATGCTTGTGATTTTTGTACATTGATTTTCCAAAACAGCATGGTACTGGTACCAAAACAGAGATATAGATCAATGGAACAGAACAGAGCCCTCAGAAATAACGCCGCATATCTGCAACTATCTGATCTTTGACAAACCTGACAAAAACAAGCAATGGGGAAAGGATTCCCTATTTAATAAATGGTGCTGGGAAAACTGGCTAGCCAGATGTAGAAAGCTGAAACTGGATCCCTTCCTTACACCTTATACAAAAATTAATTCAAGATGGATTAAAGACTTAAACGTTAGATCTAAAACCATAAAAACCCTAGAAGAAAACCTAGGCATTACCATTCAGGACATAGGCATGGGCAAGGACTTCATGTCTAAAACACCAAAAGCAATGGCAACAAAAGCCAAAATTGACAAGTGGGATCTAATTAAACTAAAGAGCTTCTGCACAGCAAAAGAAACTACCATCAGAGTGAACAGGCAGCCTACAAAATGGGAGAAAATTTTCACAACCTACTCATCTGACAAAGGACTAATATCCAGAATCTACAATGAACTCAAACAAATTTACAAGAAAAAAACAAACAACCCCATCAAAAAGTGGGTGAAGGACATGAACAGACACTTCTCAAAAGAAGACATTTATGCAGCCAAAAAACACATGAAAAAATGGTCACCATCACTGGCCATCAGAGAAATGCAAATCAAAACCACAATGAGATACCATCTCACACCAGTTAGAGTGGCAATCATTAAAAAGTCAGGAAACAACAGGTGCTGGAGAGGATGTGGAGAAACAGGAACACTTTTACACTGTTGGTGGGACTGTAAACTAGTTCAACCATTGTGGAAGTCAGTGTGGCGATTCCTCAGGGATCTAGAACTGGAAATACCATTTGACCCAGCCATCCCATTACTGGGTATATACCCAAAGGACTATAAATCATGCTGCTATAAAGACACATGCACACGTATGTTTATTGCGGCACTATTCACAATAGCAAAGACTTGGAACCAACCCAAATGTCCAACAATGATAGACTGGATTAAGAAAATGTGGCACATATACACCATGGAATACTATGCAGCCATAAAAAATGATGAGTTCATGTCCTTTGTAGGGACATGGATGAAATTGGAAATCATCATTCTCAGTAAACTATTGCAAGAACAAAAAACCAAACACCGCATATTCTCACTGATAGGTGGGAATTGAACAATGAGAACACATGGACACAGGAAGGGGAACGTCACACTCTGGGGACTGTTGTGGGGTGGGGGAACGGGGGAGGGATAGCTTTAGGAGATATACCTAATGCTAAATAATGAGTTAATGGGTGCAGCACACCGGCATGACACATGTATACATATGTAACTAACCTGCACATTGTGCACATGTACCCTAAAACTTAAAGTATAATAATAATAAAATTTAAAAAAAAAGAGTGTTGTTACTAAAATGGAGGGAGTTTATGATAAAACACTTGGATATTGTGGCACAGGCCTTCAAGTATTGACAGGTCTTCTGCCTTCTAATTGAATTCTCTGCCTAACAGCTCATTTCATTTGCCTCTGAATGGAGTTCAATTTAATTCATGATCAATAAGTAGTAAGTAGTCCATAAGGATCTCGGAAAGACAAAGTAATTGAAAGGCAAGGCTTCATGCCATGGACACAGCTGGATTTAAATTTCCCCAGTATGAAATATAAGAAGGTAAAGAGGTGTGAATTCCATACTGTATTAGGCTAAATGCAAAAACAGAAGGTTTTTTCTGCAAGGATCTTGATGCTATCATTCTTAGATGTAGACAACAAAACTCTTTTGTGTGGTTTCAGTAACAGAGAGATAATAAGTGGGCTTCATCAAGAGTTTTTGTTGTAATTCTAAACTATGGAATGCTTTACTCCAAACTATAATAAATATAATAAATAAATATAAGACTAAACAATGATACCACTGGAATTCAATACATTCTTCCTCTTTCCAATGACACAACATTTTAATGAACAGGAAAGCAAAAAACAGATAGGGGCCAATTCAGTGAGAGGATCTAAGAATTGTAAATATATGGCACCCAACACTGGAGCACCCAGATATATAAAGCCATTATTATTAGAGTTAAAGAGAAATGCAGACCCCAATACAATAATAGCTGGAGAATTCAACATCCCACTTTCAGCATTGGACAGATCTTCCAGATAAAAAAGTCAACAAAAAACACCAGACTTAATCTGCACTATAATATAACATAAATAATGTGTATTCTGCAGTCATTGGATGAAGTGTTCTGTAAATATTGATTAGATCCATTTGTTCTATAGTGAATATCAAGTCTGATATTTCTTTGTTGATTTTCAGCCTGGATGATCTGTCTAATGCTGAAAGTGGAGTGTTGAAGACTCTAACGATCATTGTTTTTGGGGTCTCTCTCTTTAGCTCTAACAATATGTGCTTTATATATGTGGGTGCTCCAGTATTGAGTGCATATATATTTACCATGTTATATATTCTTGCTGAAATGATCTCTTTATCATTATACAGTGACCTTCTTTGTCTCTTCTTATATCTTTTGTTTGAAATCTATTTTTTTTCTGATATAACTACACTTGTTCTTTTTTGGTTTCTATTAGTATAAAATATCATTTTTCATCCTTTTATTTTCAGTCTATATGTGTCTTTATAGGTGAAATGTGTCTCTTGTAGGCAACAGATCAATGCATCTTGATTTTTAATCCATTCAGCCACTCTTTCTCATTTGATTACAGAATTTAGTCCATCTACATTCAATGTTATTATCGATAAATAAGGACTTACTCTTGCCATTTATTTATTGTTTTCTGGTTGTTTTGTGATCTTCCCTTCCTTCTTTCCTTCCTTCCTGTAATCCTTTTAGTGGGGGTGATTTTCTTTGATGGTATGTTTTAATTTCTTGCTTTTTATGTTTTTCGATCCATTGTACATTTTTTGATATGAGGGTGCTTTGATGCTTGCAAATACTATTGTATAACCCATTATTTTAAACTGATTACAACTTAATACTGATTGCATAAAAAATTAAATGAGAAGCAATGAAAAAACTAATATAAACTCTACATGTTAACTTCAACCCCTGCTTTTTAACTTTTTGTTTTTTCTATTTATGTCTTATTGTACTGTCTACGTCTTAAAAAGTTTTTGTAGTTGTTTTTGATCTGTTCATCTTTTAGTCCTTCTACTTAAGATATAAATAGTTTGCACAACACAAATACAATGTTATATTATGTGTTTTTCTCCATACTCACTATTATCAGTGAGTTTTGTACTTTCAGATGATTTCTTGTTGCTTATTAACATCATTTTGTTTATGATTAAATAACTCCTTTAACATTTCCTATAGGACAGGTCTGGTGTTGATGAAATGCCTCAGTTTTCATTTGTCTAGGAAAGTATTTTTCTTTTACATTTAAAAGACATTTTTATGGGATATACTATTCTAGTGTAAACATGTTTCTTCTTTTAGCACTTTAAATATGTTATGCCACTCTCTCCTCGCCTGTAAGATTTCCACTGGAAAACCTGCTGCCAGATGCTGTGTTGTCTGTTTTTTGTTTGTTTTTTTTTTCTTTTCTCTTGCAGCTTTTAGCATTCTTTCTTTATTGTTGACATTTTGGGAATTTGACTATTAAATGTCTCAAGGTAGTATTCTTTGGGTTAAATCTGCTTGGTGTTCTATAACCTTCTTGTACATAAATATTGATATCTTTCTGTAGGTTTGGGAAATTCTCTGTTATCATCCCTTTGAATAAACTTTCTACCCATATCTGTTTCTCTACCTCTTGTTTAAGGCTGATAGCTATTATATTTCCCCCTTTGAGGCTATTTTCTAGATCTCATAGGGATGCTTCATTGTTTTATATTCTTTTTTCTTTTGTCTCCTCTGACTGTGTGTTTTCCTATAGCCTGTCTTCAAGCTCACTAATTCTTCCTTCTGGTTGATCAATCCTGATGCATTCTTCAGTATACATCAATTGCTTTTTGCAACACCACAATTTCTGCTTGATTCTTTTAAATTATTTCAATATCTTTGTTAAATTTATCAGATAGGATTCTGATTCCCTTCTCTGTGTTATCTTGAATTTATTTGAGCTTCCTCAAAACAGCCATTTTGAACTCTCTTTCTGAAAGGTCACATTTATTTCTCTCTCTGGGATTGATGCCTGTTACCTAATTTAATTCATTTGGTGAGGTCATGTTTTCTGGATAGTCTTGATGCTTGTGGATGTTTGATGAACAGTTTCTGGACACTGAGTGGTTAGGTATTTATTGTAGTTTTGCAGTCTGGGCTTGTTTGTACCTGTCCTTCTTGAGAAGGCTTTTCAGGTATTTGTAAGTACTTAGTTGTTGTGACCAAAGTTTTTGGTCACTGCTTCTATATCTGCATTAGAGGGCCCTCCAGTCCAGCAGTGCTGTGGTTCTTGCAGACTCATAGAAGTACTGCCTTTGTTGTCTTGGATAAAATTGGCAAGAATTTTCTGGTTTACCAGGCAGAGACTCTTATTCTTTCCTTTACATTCTCCCAAACAAATGGAGTCTCTCCCCCTGTGCTAAGCTGCCTAGAGCTAGGGGAGGAGGAGGAGTGACACAAGTACTGCTGTGGCCATCACACTAGGACTGTACTGGATGAGAACTGAAGCCAGCACAGCATTGAGTCTCATTCAAGACCCACTGTAACCACTACCTGGCCACTGCCTATGTATGCTCAAGGCTCTAGGGCTCTCCAATCAGCAGGTGACAAAGCCAGCCAGGCTTCTGTTCTTCCCTTCTGGTGGCAAGTTCCCCTGGGCCCTGGGTATGTTCAGAGATGCCATCCAGGAGCTAGGACCTGGAGTCAGAAGCCTTAGAAATCTGCCATGTGCTCTACTCTACTGCACCTGAGCTGGCACCTAACCACAAGACAAAGTCCTTCCTTCTTTTTCCTCCCATTTTCACAGGCAGAAGATTCTCTTCCCATGGCCACCACCCCACAGGCCCATGGGGAACACTGCCAGGCTACCACTGGCATTCACTTAAGGCCCAAGGGCTCTTTAGTCAGCCTGTGGTAAATTCTGCCTGGTCTAGGATTCACCCTTTGGGGCAGTGGGCTTACCTCTGGCCCAATGCAGGTCCAGAAATGCCATCTAAGAGCCAAGGCCTGGAATCAGTGACTGCAAGAGCCCACTTGGTGTTCTTTCCCACTGTGGCTGAGCTGGTACCTAACCTACAAGACAAAATCCCCTTTACTCTTTCCTCTGCTATTCTCAAGCAGAAGTCTCTCCCATAGCCACCACATGTAGGAATGTTCTGGGTCACATCTGAAACCAGCACATTTTTGGAGTCTTGCCAAAGGCCCACGGCAAGTAGTACCTGGCTATTGCTGGTGATTATTTAGGGTTCAAGGGGTCCTTAGTCAACAGTTGATGAATCTTTTGTGGACTGGGTCCTTCCCTTCAAGGCATTGGGTTTCCTTTTGGCCAAAGGTGTGTCTCAAAATGTTATGCAGGAGCTAGGGCATGGAATGGGGTCCTCATGACTCTGTCAGCTGCCCTATCCTGCTGTGGCTAAGCTAGTGACCAAGTTGCAAGGCAAAATCCACTTGACTCTTCCCTCTCCTTTCCTCAAGCAGAAGGAAGTAGTCTTTTTGGAGCTTCACATTAGGCTGGCTGTCTGGTGTTGGGGGAGGGGTGGCAAAGGCACTCTTTAAGCTTCCCTGGTTGGTGTCACACTAGGCCATGTGCCCCCCGAGTTTACTGGCTTCAAGCTCAGCATCGCACTAGAACTTTCCTAGACTTGCGTTGCTTGTGGCCTTGACTACTTTTTATGTTTATTTAGGACCCCAGAGCACTTTAGCCCACAGTGGTGAAGCTTGCTGAATATCAAGTTCTTACTGCAGAGATTGGTGATTCCATTCTGGCTGGAACGTCTGTAAATGCTCTCTCTGTGGGCATCAGCTGAGTTCTGCATCATGTTGCTTTCCACTGACAGGACAGAAGTAAGTTTTAATGCAAAGTCCCACAATCACTGCAGTTTCCCTCTCCCAAATGCACAGATTATCTCTCTGTATCACGTGGTCACTGCTGGGGGATGGAGGCGGGGTGGTGTCAGCAATTCAAGACTGTATTTCCTACCCTCTTCAGTACCACTTTCAGTGATATGAAGTTAAAAGCAGGTACTGTGATCAGTCATTTGATTTTTGGTTCTCATGAAGGTTTGTGTGTGAATCATTGTTAAATTTGGTGTTCCTGTGGAGGGGAAGATCAGTGGAGGCTTCTATTCAGTCATCTTGCTTTACCTCCTATTTTTCTTCATTCTTTTTTTTCTCTGCATGCATAATCTCTATCAATAGTTCTCCAAGCTCATTATTTCTTTTTTCTGCAAATCCAAATTTACTGTTGAGGTCCTACAGTGATTTTTTTTATATGTCAGTTATTGTACTTTCAACTCCAGAATTCCCATTTGGTTGTTTAAAAAAAATTCTCTTTATTGATATTCTCTATTTGATGTGACACTGTCATTATATCTCCTTTATGTCTCTAATCACGCTTTACTTTAGTTCTGTGAATATATTATAATGGCTAATTTGCAAACTTTTCCTGTTAAATCCAGTTTCTAGTCACTCTCACAGGCAACTTCTGTTGCCTGTTTATTTTCCCCAAATATATGTGTCATACTCTCCTGTTTCTTTGCATGCCTCAAAATTTTTTATTGGAAACTGGACATTTGAGAACATATTGTAGCAAATATTGGTACTGCTCCCACAGCTTATTATTATTTCCTTCTTTTTTTTTTTAGAATAAATTATTTCAGTGACCTCTATCTCCCTTCCCTCCTCCTTACCACTCACATTGTTAGGTCTCTGACGTTAATCCTCAGGAGGGCAAAGTTTTGAGTATTCCACAGTTACCTTGGAATCATGGTGTTATTGGTATAGTTCTCTTCCACGTTTTTTCCTGATCACACCCAGCCATTGAGTTCCTATCTTTACAATGTCTTGGAGCACAAATTCAACTATTAACTAATCTAATCAACTTGTATCTCCTTCTAAGGAATAGTTCCTGAGGTAGTACTTATTCTGAACCCAGGCAGGCTCCTCCTACATGTTTTATTCCCTGGTTCTCTCCTGCATACTTACTGGCCTATATTCTAGGCTATATTTTCATTAGAGGAATGAATATCCTCTTGATTCCCTTTCACCACAACTTTCACTGTTTTTGAGAGGGCTCTTAGGTTTAAATGCCTCTACACTCTGTTGCAAATAAATCAAGCTCCTTGAACTACCTGTTTGATAGCCTGCTTCTTTCTCTCACTCTCCCCACACTCAGGCAAAATCTCTAAGCAAGGTTCTGTAGCTGGAGGTGAGAACAATGGCAAGCTTCTGAGTAACACTTTCACTCTAGGAGCAGAACACTCAGTGGAGCGGTCGCAGTAGTTTGAGATCTCAGCTTACCTCTTCTGATGTGGAACCACTGCCTCAAAAATCAAGGAAAGGGCTATTGGGTCCCCAGTATTCTCAGCATGTCATGCTCAAGTTAGAGCCTTCATTTCACAAGTGGGGGTTGGTAGAGACTCATGCCTATAATCCCGGCAATTTGGAAGGCTGATGTAGAAGGATTGCTCGAGGCCAGGAGTTTGAGACCAGCTTGGTCAACATAGAGTCCATCTCTACAAAAACAAAACCAAAACCAAAAACCACACACACACACACACACACACACACACACACACACACACACCCTAGGTGGGGAATGGGCATAAGAAGGGAGCTCCTACCTCTTGACCACAGTTACCTGGAACAGCCTCAGCAACCAGTAGCTGGGGGCAGAATGAGAAATGCAGTTTTACTCCTCCTGAGAATAATGCTTCCAGTTGGGGGAGAGGCAGTCCTATATTCTTGGCTGCTGTAGCCTGGAGTGAAGTTTCTACCTTGCTGATCTGGGAGGAGGGAAGAGAGAGCAGGCTTGATTCATATGCCACAGACTTGAGCAGATATTTCTTCACTTGCTGTTTGACCTTAGGACCATTTCCAGAGGCTTTAAGTGTTTTGTTTTTTAAACAATTGTCACCAGTTATTCTGGAAAATGGGTTAGCAGAGCTACTCATGGTATCATTCCAGAAGTCAATCCCTCAGAGGTCTTTGAACCTCTTCTATTTTTCTGTATATCCACTCTTTTTATTCCATCCAGTCTCATGGCTTTAAATATAAACTATACGCTGATTTCTCTCAAATGTACATCTCCAAGGACCTATCCCCCTAAACTTGAGTTAAATACTGTATGCGGCTTCCTAGTTAACATCTCCACTCAGATATCTAATAGGCATCTCAAACTTAACATGTCTAAAATTGAACTCTTGATCTATACCTCACCCTAAAACCTGCTTTATCCATAGTGTTCTCTATCTCAGTAAATAGAATGTTCTTCTTTTTTATAGTGTATACAAATTTTTATCTTCCTGTTGCTTTGGACAGAAACCTTGGTATTATTCTTGACTCTTTTCCCCTCCTTATCCCACATGCAATCTACCAGCAAAATTTAAAAGATCTATCTTTAAAATATATCAAGATTTGACCACTTCTCACCCCCTGCAGCCAGCTCAAGCCACTATTATCTCTCCTGTGGATTATTGCAGTAGCTTCTTAACTATTGTAAACTTGTGCCTACCCTTAAGATGTGTCTACCCTTCTATCTCCTAACATGCCAGAGTGATTCTGTTAAAACCTAAACCATATCATGTTACTCCTCCGATTAAAACCATTTGCTGTCTTCTAATCACACGGAAAGTTATGTTCTCACAATGTCCTAAAAGACTCCACAATCTTTCCACTCCATACCCAGTTTACTCTATGATCTTATCTGCTATTACTGTTTTCCCTCAACCACTCAGCTCCATCCTAGTCACTCTGCTAATTAACACACTAACCTCACATTTATCTCAGAACCTTTGCACGTGTTATTCCCTCTGCCAGAAATACTTTCCCGAGATTGCATTCTTATCTACTTCAGGTCTTTGTTCTTATGGCATCTTTTCAGTGGGGCCTATTCTGACCTCCACATTTAAAATTAATGTACTCTCTCTGCCATCACTCTCGATTCCCTTTCCCTGCTTGCCATCATTTAATGTAATGCATGTTTCACTTATTTATTTTGTATATTGTCTGTTTCCCTGCCAATTGACTGTAACGTCCATGAGGGCTGGGATAATTTTCTCTTTTGTTCACCACTCAACATCTGAGAACACTGTCTGGCACAAAGTTGGTTCTCAATAAATACTTGTTGAATGAATGAATGAACTGATTTCAATGGAGGGAAGGAGCATAAAGGCACTTCTGGTATGGGAGAATAGGGAATAGAAACAGAAGGCTTAAGACCTCTTTATTCTCATTGCAAATTGGGCACAAACAAGCTTTGGGCATGTATGTGAGCTTAGGTGTACCTCAGTGCCCAGTACTGCCTTTTCCACTCCATCGTCCAGTCAAGTCTTTAGGTATTTGATATGTAAATCACTTGACTTGGGCCATGGCAATGCTTCCCAATGGCCATGGGCATAGGCTCCCACTAAACAGATATAAACAAACTGGTGGTTTTCTAATCTCCTCCACATTTTATCAACTATTTAGTTACATGACTTTGTATGACAATATACATGAGATTAAAGGGAAGCGGATGAGGGTGGCAGGGGTAGTGTTTGGAATATATGTGTTGTGGGCCTGGAGTCAAAGTCAAAGTTCAGCCCCAGTTATTACTTTGGTCAGAACTTCAGTATTCCACTCAGGAATCTTCCACAGACGTGCCATTGAACAAATATCATAATAAGATAATAAAGAGATCTACATGGAACCCTGGAGCCCTATTTCCACATTCGATGAATGAAGAACCTGAGGCCCAGAGAGGGGAAAAACTTGCCGAAGTTCCTGAATATAGCTAATGGAAGGAATCAAAATCCTTGCTTCTTGCCTCGTAGTCTGATGCTGTTTCAAATAGGAGACATTGAATTCTTTTTCATGGGGTACCCCAACTGAAGAGAACCCCTAAAATCAGCAGAAATACTGTAAAAGAAGCCAAATGCAATATAATACATAGTGCATATACTTACAAAGAGAATTTCATCTCAGCAATAATTAAGGGACATATGTTGAGACTTTTGCAAGCAGGTACATGTTAGTTCAGGCTTCTAACTTCATTTTAACAAATCAAAGCCAGAACTCAGTCAATTAATCTTGTCAGTCAGACTCCCTGATAAGTAGGTCTGATACTGCAATTTGCAAAGTAGTTTAGTCAACTTCAGCATTGCCTCTTTTCTTTTTATTTTTTTAAATAGTTTAAAGCATCAAATTCACACAGGCACATTGATAGTAAGGTTATTTGGAATTAAGCTTTTTATCTGTTATAAGCTGGGTACCTCTGGAAACAGACTCTGTGATAAAGATGTTTGTGCAGGAAGTTTATTGGGGAGTGCTCTTGAGAACAATATCTGAGAGGGACTAAAAGAAGCAGGACTAAGAAGAGAGAGAAATTGCAACAAAGGACTCATCCAACTTCATGAGGAGTTCTGAGATTGAGACAGCCCTTCAAAGATGTTTCAAATTGAGGCAAGGGCTCTAGGTCTTTGTATTTTCACATGGATCTGTCAATGGATGCAGTCTGCACCTGAAGAAAAGGATGCATAATGTTGAATAGGGCAGATCCCTCAGCCTAGGACAATTCCTAGGAAAGGAATTAGTTACACCTTGTAACTCATGTCTAGTCAAGCTAGACATGACTGCCTGAGTTCTTCATGGAGGATGAGGGTTGTACAGTATCCATCACATTTCCCTTCATTTAGATTTGGCCTTCCTTGACTTCCCCACACCAGCATCATCAAATGGTTTATTTCACTCCTTCCTTGCCTTACTCTTTGCATTATTATGCCTATAGCAGTGTTCAGCAGAATTGCATTCTCTTTCTCTTTGGTTTTGAAATATTGCTTTTTCTTCTTTTTTTATATATCCTCCAGAAGACTTGCTTGGAGGGTGAAATATAGCTTTTGTTGATAATTGAGTTCTATAGGCAAGAAGAAGTAGCCATAACCTGGGAACCATAACAGCTTAGTTTTTAATATATTAATTTAACAGGTTCTCTTTTTTATATACCTTTTAGACATTGTACTTTCAAGTAAACTAACTTCAAAAAGTTGGCAATATGTATTTGAAAATGATTTTAAAATTTTGAAATCCTGCCATTTGTGAAAAATAGATGAATCTGGAGAACATTATGCTAAATGAAATAAGCCAGACACAGAAAAAAGATACTGTGTCATATCACTTATTTGTGGAATCCAAAAAAGTCAAACTCATAGAAGCTGAGAGTAGAATGTTGGTTGCCAGAGGCTGCATAGGAAGGTGGATTGGAGATATGTTGGTAAAAGCGTGCAAACTTTCAGTTCTGAAATGAATACGTTCTGAGGGTCTAATGTACCATATGGTTGACTATAGTTAATAATACTGCGCTGTAGACTTGAAATTTGTGAATTGAGTAGACCTTAAGTGTTATCACCACACCCAAACAAAATGGTAACTATATGCAGTGATGGATGTATTAATTAGCTTTATTGTGGTAATCATATCATATTGGATATGTATGTCAAATCATCGTGTATACCTTGAATATATATAACTTTATTTGTCATTATGCCTCAGGAAACCTGGAAAAAAGCAAATAAACAAACAGTAACAGGATCAGGCATTAAAGAAAAAATTTTGAAAGCCAGGAAAGTAAATAGTAAAGAAGATGAGATATACATTTAAAAAATACCCAATTCTTGCTCCAAGAACTACCACAGGAACATACCAGGAAAACTGAGAGAATTCGCAGACCCTTTCAAAGAAGCAGCTTGCCATTGCAAACGCTGGTGAGACAGCTGAAAAACTGAGTTCCCAAAGTGTGAGAGGGGAAAAAGTCAGCCTCTGAACATCCATCCCTACTGGGGAACCTGAAAATCCAGATCATGGGAGAAGGATTTAACCTTACCTAGAGCTGAAACAGATTTAGGGAGCTGAGTGAAATATAAAAGTAGAAGAAGCAGTTTGAAGAGCCTTGTAGGCACTCCCAGTCCTCAGCTTGAGCCCCAGGGAAGCCATTCCTGGTCTTATCTCACAGAAGTCCTGGGGGAAGGGATGGCAGCCAGCAGAATTGGGGAGGGGCCACAGGGTGAAAGAAGGTCCTAGCTGAACTTCTGTAATAATTTTGACTGAGCACAAACTTTCCTGAGAAGAATCCAGGGTTAGGGAGAGGTGAACAGGAAGTGCAGATATGAGTGCAGAAGCCACAGCAGAAGTTGCAGGCAGGTGGTGAGGTGAAGCCTGAAAGCCCTGCTTGCTTTCTCAGCAAGGAGGCTTGTGGCCTGGGGCAAGATCACAGCCCTCCTCTCCAGCTGCCTGGATATAAACTCTGCTATTGGTGGGGCACAGTGGGAGTGAGACTGGCCTTGCAGGCTGCATGAGAGCTAGGTGAGGTCTGTCACTGCCGGCTTTCCTCCACTTTCCTGGTGACCTGTATGACACAGCAGAGGCAACCATAGTGCCCCTGGGAACATAACTCCATTGGCCTGAGAACCCTCTCACCCCCAACACTCAAAGTGGCCAGAGCAAGCTCCACTCAGGGAGAGTCTGATCTCAGACCTGCCTACCCTACAGCCACCTGATGATTTTTCTCTACCTGCCCTGGTAGCCTAAGACAAAAGACATAAGCTATTGGGAGCTGTATGGCCCCACCCATCAACAAAAAACCCTAGTACTCATCCTGGCCAACATAGGGCAAGATTATATCCCCCTTCTACTACTGCAGCTGGTGCCCTCTTGAAAGCATCACCTGCTGGCTGGATGCCAACCAAGCCATTACATCAACTAATAACAGAAAAATCCTGCTCCAAAGAAGGAGAAAACAACAGCTCTTTTTACCACTTGCAACACCCTGGCTAGTCAGAGATCCTGAGTCTGTCCACATGACAACTTGACTGCTAGCATAACTAGCATTTGTGGAAACCAGTGCACTAAACAAAACTACAACCAGGGACTCCCACAGAGCTCACTTCACCCCCTGCCACTTCCACTGGAGCAGGTCCTAGTATCTGTGGCTGGGAGACCTGAAGATGAATCACATCCCAGGACTCTTTGCAGACATACCCCATCACCAGCCTAAATCCCAGTAGCCACACTGGGTGGCTAGACCAAAGAAGGCAATAACAATCAGTGCAGTCTGACTCTTAGGAAGCCCTATCCTTAGAGGAAGAGGGAGAGAACCACATCAATGAATCACCCTATGGGACAAAATAATCTGAACGGCAGCCCTTGAGTTCCAGAACATTCCACTGAAACAGTCTACCCAAATAAGAAGAAACCAGACAAGTAATTCTGGTAATATGACAAAACAAGGATCTATAAAACCCCAAAAGATCACACTAGCTCTCCAGCAGTGGATCCAAACCAAGAAGAACTCTCTGAATTGCAGATACAGAATTCAGAAGGTTGATTATTAAGCTACTCAAGGGGCACCAGACAAAGGTGAAAAACAACTTAAAGAAATTTTTAGAAAATAACAAAATATGGATGAAAAAGTCTCCAGAGTAATAGATATCATAAAGAAAAGACAATCACAGCTTCTGGAAGTGAAAGCACACATAGAGAAATGCAAAATACATTGGAAACTTTCAACAATAAAATAAAACAATTAGAAGAAAAAACTTCCACACTCAAAGAAAAGGCTTTTGAATTAACCCAATCCAACAAAAGCAAAGGAAAAAGAATTAAAAAATGAACAAAGCTTCCAAGAAATTTGGGATTATGTTAGATGACCAAACATAAGAATAATTGTTGTTCCTGAGGAAAAGAGAAATCTAAAAGTTTGGAAAACTTATTTGAGAGAATAATCAAGAAAAATCTTCCCTGGTCTTGCTAGAGATATAGGCATCCAAATATAAGAAACTCAAAGAGCACCCAGGAAATTCATTGCAAAAAGATCATCACCTAGGAACACAGTCATCAGGTTATCTAAAGTCAAGACAAAGAAAAGAATCTTAAGAGCTATGAAGCAAAAGGATCAGGTAACATATGAAGAAAAACCTGTAAGATTAACTGCAGATTTCTCAGCAGAAAACCTGCAAGCCAGAAGGGATCCAGGTCTTATTGATAAACTCCTTAAACAAATTATCAGTAATTTTGTATCCAGTGAAATTAAGTTTCATAAATGAAGGAGAGATAAAGTCTTTCTCAGACACACAAATGCTAAGAGAATTTGCCACAACCAAGCCAGCACTAAAAGAAATGCTAGAAAGATGGCTGAATAGGAACAGCTCTGGTCTACAGCTACCAGCATGAGCGACGCAGAAGCCGGGTGATTTCTGCATTTCCATCTGAGGTACCGGGTTCATCTCACTAGGGAGTGCCAGACAGTGGGCGCAGGTCAGTGGGTGAACTCACCATGCATGAGCCGAAGCAGGGCGAGGCATTGCCTCACTTGGGAAGGGCAAGGGGTCAGGGAGTTCCCCTTCCTAGTCAAAGAAAGGGGTGACAGACGGCACCTGGAAAATTGGGTCACTCCCACCCGAATACTGCGCTTTTCCGATGGGCTTAAAAAACGGCGCACAGGGAGATTATATCCCGCACATGGCTCGGAGGGTCCTATGCCCACGGAGTCTTGCTGATTGCTAGCACAGCAGTCTGAGATCAAACTGCAAGGCAGCAGCGAGGCTGGGGGAGGGGCGCCTGCCATTGCCCAGGCTTGCTTAGGTAAACAAAGCAGCCTGGAAGCTCGAACTGGGTGGAGCCCACCACAGCTCAAGGAGGCCTCCCTGCCTCTGTAGGCTCCACCTCTGGGGGCAGGGCACAAACAAAAAGACAGCAGTAACCTCTGCAGACTTAAATGTCCCTGTCTGACAGCTTTGAAGAGAGCAGTGGTTCTCCCAGCACGCAGCTGGAGATCTGAGAATGGGCAGACTGCCTCCTCAAGTGGGTCCCTGACCCCTGATCCCCAAGCAGCCTAACTGGGAGACACTCGCCAGCAGGGGCAGACTGACACCTCACACGGCCGGGTACTCCAACAGACCTGCAGCTGAGAGTCCTGTCTGTTAGAAAGAAAACTAACAAACAGAAAGGAAATCCACACCAAAAACCCATCTGTACATCACCATCATCAAAGACCAAAAGTAGATAAAACCACAAAGATGGGGAAAAAACAGAGCAGAAAAACTGGAAACTCTAAAAAGCAGAGCGCCTCTCCTCCTCCAAAGGAACGCAGTTCCTCACCAGCAACAGAACAAAGCTGGACGGAGAATGATTTTGACGAGCTGAGAGAAGAAGGCTTCAGAAGATCAAATTACTCCGAGCTACGGGAGGACATTCAAACCAAAGGTAAAGAAGTTGAAAACTTTGAAAAAAATTAAGAAGAATGTATAACTAGAATAACCAATACAGAGAAATGCTTAAAGGAGCTGATGGAGCTGAGAACCAAGGCTGGACAACTACGTGAAGAATGCAGAAGCCCCAGGAGCCGATGCGATCAACTGGAAGAAAGGGTATCAGCAATGGAAGATGAAATGAATGAAATGAAGCGAGAAGGGAAGTTTAGAGAAAAAAGAATAAAAAGAAATGAGCAAAGCCTCCAAGAAATATGAGACTATGTGAAAAGACCAAATCTACGTCTGATTGGTGTACCTGAAAGTGACGGGGAGAATGGAACCAAGTTGGAAAACACTCTGCAGGATATTCTCCATGAGAACTTCCCCAATCTCGCAAGGCAGGCCAACATTCAGATTCAGGAAATACAGAGAATGCCACAGAGATACTCCACGAGAAGAGTAACACCAAGACATATAATTGTCAGATTCACCAAAGTTGAAATGAAGGAAAAAATGTGAAGGGCAGCCAGAGAGAAAGGTCGGGTTACCCTCAAAGGGAAGACCATCAGACTAACAGCGGATCTCTCAGCAGAAACTCTACAAGCCAGAAGAGAGTGGGGGCCAATATTCAACATTCTTAAAGAAAAGAATTTTAAACCCAGAATTTCATATCCAGCCAAACAAACTTCATAAGAGACGGAGAAATAAAATCCTTTACAGACAAGCAAATGCTGAGAGATTTTGTCACCACCAGGCCTGCCCTAAAAGAGCTCCTGAAGGAAGCACTAAACATGGAAAGGAACAACCAATACCAGCTGCTGCAAAATCATGCCAAAATGTAAAGACCATCGAGACTAGGAAGAAACTGCATCAACTAATGAGCAAAATAACCAGCTAACATCATAAAGACAGGATCAAATTCACACATAACAATATTAACTTTAAATGTAAGTGGACTAAATGCTCCAATTAAAAGGCACAGACTGGCAAATTGGATAAAGAGGCAAGACCCATCAGTGTGCTGTATTCAGGAAACCCATCTCACGTGCAGAGACACACATAGGCTCAAAATAAAAGGATGGAGGAAGATCTACCAAGCAAATGGAAAACAAAAAAAGGCAGGGGTTGCAATCCTAGTCTCTGATAAAACAGACTTTAAACCAACAAAGATCAAAAGAGACAAAGAAGGCCATTACTCAATGGTAAAGGGATCGATTCAACAAGAAGAGCTAACTATCCTAAATATATATGCACCCAATACAGGAGCACCCAGATTCATAAAGCAAGTCCTGAGTGACCTACAAAAAGGCTTAGACTCCCACACATTAATAATGGGAGACTTTAACACCCCACTGTCAACATTAGACAGATCAATGAGACAGAAAGTCAACAAGGATACCCAGGAATTGAACTCAGCTCTGTACCAAGCAGACCTAAGAGACATCTACAGAACACTCTACCCCAAATCAACAGAATATACATTTTTTTCAGCACCACACCACACCTATTCCAAAATTGACCACATACTTGGAAGTAAAGCTGTCCTCAGCAAATGTAAAAGAACAGAAATTATAACAAACTATCTCTCAGACCACATTGCAATCAAACTGGAACTCAGGATTAAGAAACTCACTCAAAACCACTCAACTACATGGAAACTGAACAACCTGCTCCTGAATGACTACTGGGTACATAACGAAATGAAGGCAGAAATAAAGATGTTCTTTGAAACCAACGAGAACAAAGACACAACATACCAGAATCTCTGGGACACATTCAAAGCAGTGTGTAGAGGGAAATTTATAGCACTAAATGCCCACAAGAGAAAGCAGGAAAGATCCAAAACTGACACCTTAACATCACAATTAAAAGAACTAGGAAAGCAAGAGCAAACACATTCAAAAGCTAGCAGAAGGCAAGAAATAACTAAGATCAGAGCAGAACTGAAGGAAATAGAGACACAAAAAACCCTTCAAAAAATCAATGAATCCAGGAGCTGGTTTTTTGAAAAGATCAACAAAATTGATAGACTGCTAGCAAGACTAATACAGAAGAAAAGAGAGAAGAATCAAATAGATGCAAAAAAAATGATAAAGGATATATCACCACCAATCCCACAGAAATACAGACTACCATCAGAGAATACTATAAACACATCTATGCAAATAAACTAGAAAAATCTAGAAGAAATGGATAAATTCCTGGACACATACACCCTCCCAAGACTAAACCAGGAAGAAGTTGAATCCCTGAATAGAGCAATAACAGGCTCTGACATTGAGGCAATAATCAATAGCTTACCAACCAAAAAGAGTCCAGGACCAGATGGATTCACAGCCGAATTCTACCAGAGGTAGAAGGAGGAACTGGTACCATTCCTTCTGAAACTATTCCAATCAATAGAAAAAGAGGGAATCCTCCCTAACTCATTTTATGAGGCCAGCATCATACTGATACCAAAGCCGGGCAGGGACACAACCAATAAAGAGAATTTTAGACCAATATCCTTGAATATCCTTGATGAACATTGATGCAAAAATCCTCAATAAAATACTGGCAAACCGAATCCAGCAGCACATCAAAAAGCTTATCCACCATGATCAAGTGGGCTTCATCTCTGGGATGCAAGGCTGGTTCAATATACGCAAATCAATAAATGTAATCCAGCATATAAACAGAACCAAAGACCAAAACCACATGATTATCTCAATAGATGCAGAAAAGGCCTTTGACAAAATTCAACAACGCTTCATCCTAAAAACTCTCAATAAATTAGGTATTGCTGGGATGTATCTCAAAATAATAAGAGCTATCTATGACAAACTCACAGCCAATATCATACTGAATGGGCAAAAACTGGAAGCATTCCCTTTGAAAACTGCCACAAGACAGGGATGCCCTCTCTCACCACTCCTATTCAACATTGTGTTGGAAGTTCTGGCCAGGGCAATGAGGCAGGAGAAGGAAATAAAGGGTATTCAATTAGGAAAAGAGGAAGTCAAATTGTCCCTGTTTGCAGAAGACATGATTGTATATCTAGTAAACCCCATTGTCTGAGCCCAAAATCTCCTTAAGCTGATAAGCAACTTCAGCAATGTCTCGGGATACAAAATCAATGTACAAAAATCACAAGCATTCTTATACATCAACAGCAGAGAAACAGAGAGCCAAATCATGATTGAACTCCCATTCACAATTGCTTCAAAGAGAATAAAATACCGAGGAATCCAACTTACAAGGGATGTGAAGGACCTCTTCAAGGATAACTACAAACCACTGCTCAAGGAAATAAAAGAGGATACAAACAAATGGAAGAACATTCCATGCTCATGGGTAGGAAGAATGAATATTGTGAAAATGGCCATACTGCCCAAGGTAATTTACAGATTCAATGCCATCCCCATCAAGCTACCAATGACTTTCTTCACAGAATTGGAAAAAACTACTTTAAAGTTCATATGGAACCAAAAAGGAGCCCGCATTGCCAAGTCAATCCTGAGCCAAAAGAACAAAGCTGGAGGTATCGCACTACCTGACTTCAAACTATACTACAAGGCTACAGTAACCAAAACAGTATGATACTGGTACCAAAAAAAAGATATAGATCAATGGAACAGAACCGAGCCCTCTGAAATAATGCTGCATATCTACAACTATCTGATCTTTGACAAACCTGAGAAAAACAAGCAATGGGGTAAGGATTCCCTATTTAATAAATGGTGCTGGGAAAACTGGCTAGCCAGATGTAGAAAGCTGAAACTGGATCCCTTCCTTACACCTTATACAAAAATCAATTCAAGATGGATTAAAGACTTAAACGTTTGACCTAAAACCATAGAAACCCTAGAAGAAAACCTAGGCATTACCATTCAGGACATAGGCATGGCAAGGACTTCATGTCTAAAACACCAAAAGCAATGGCAACAAAAGCCAAAGTTGACAAATGGGATCTAATTCAACTAAAGAGCTTCTGCACAGCAAAAGAAACTACCATCAGCGTGAACAGGCAACCTACAAAATGGGAGAAAATTTTCTCAACCTACTCATCTGACAAAGGGCTAATATTCAGAATCTACAATGAACTCAAACAAATTTACAAGGAAAAAACAAACAAACCCATCAAACAGTGAGTAAAGGACATGAACAGATACTTCTCAAAAGAAGACATTTATGCAGCCAAAAGACACATGAAAAAATGCTCACCATCACTGGCCATCAGAGAAATGCAAATCAAAACCACAATGAGATACCATCTCACACCAGTTAGAATGGCAATCATTAAAAAGTCAGGAAACAACAGGTGTTGGAGAGGATGTGGAGAAACAGGAACACTTTTACACTGTTGGTGGGACTGTAAACTAGTTCAACCATTGTGGAAGTCAGTGTGGGGATTCCTCATGGATCTAGAACTAGAAATACCATTTGACCCAGCCATCCCATTACTGGGTATATACCCAAAGGACTATAAATCATGCTGCTATAAAACACATGCACATGTATGTTTATTGCGGCATTATTCACAATAGCAAAGACTTGGAACCAACCCAAATGTCCAACAATGATAGACTGGATTAAGAAAATGTGGCACATATACACCATGGAATACTATGCAGCCATAAAAAATGATGAATTCATGTCCTTTTTAGGGACATGGATGAAATTGGAAATCATCCTTCTCAGTAAACTATCGCAAGAACAAAAAACCAAACACTGCATGTTCTCACTCATAGGTGAGAATTGAACAATGAGAACACATGGACACAGGAAGGGGAACATCACACTCTGGGGACTGTTGTGGGGTGGGGGGAGGGGGGAGGGATAGCATTGGGAGATATACCTAATGCTAGATGACGAGTTAGTGGGTGCAGCGCACTAGCATGGCACATGTATACATATGTAACTAACCTGCACATTGTGCACATGTACCCTAAAAGTTAAAGTATAACAATAATAAAAAAAGGAATGTTAAAAAGAATCCTAGATCTTGAAACGAAACCTTGAAATACACCAAAATAGAAACTCCTTAAAGAATAAATCTCACAGAACCTATAAAACAATAATACAATAAGAAAAACAAGGTATTTGGGTAACAACTAGCATGATGAATAGAGCAGTACCTCACATTTCAATACTAACATTGAATGCAAATGGCCCTAAATGCTCTGCTTAAAAGATGCAGAATGGCAGAGTGGATAAAAATCCACCAACCAAGTACCTGCTGTCTTCAACAGACTCACCTATCACATAAGGACTCACATAAACTTAAGGTAAAGAGGTAGAAAAAGATATTCCATACAAATAGACACCCACAGCAAGCAGGAGTAGCTATTCTTATATCAGACAAAACAGACATTAAAGCAACAACAGTTAAAACAGATAAAGAGGGGCATTATATAATGACAAAAGAATTAGACCAACAGGAAAATATCACAATCATAAATACATATGCACCTAACACTGGAGCTTCCAAATTTATAAAATATTTACTACCAGACCTAAGAAATGAAATAAATGGCAATAGTGGGAAACTTCAGTACTCTACTGACAGCACTAGACAGGTCATCAAGACAGAAAGTCAACAGAGAAACAATGGACTTAAAAGAAGAAATGGACTTAACAGATATATACAGAACATTCTACCCAACAACTGCAGAATATACATTCTTTTCATCAGCACATGGAACATTCTCCAAGATAGACCATATGATAGGCCACAAGAAGTGACTCAAGAAATTTAAGAAAATCAAAATTATATCAAGTACTCTTGCAGACCACAGTGGAATAAAATTAGAAATCAACTTCAATAGGAACCCTTAAAAGTATACAAATACATGAAAATTAAATAATCTTCTGAATGATCCTTTGGTCAACAACGAAATCAAGATGGAAATTAAAAAATCATTTGAACTGAACAATAATAGTGACACAGACAGTCAAAACCTCTGGGATACAGCAAAAGCAGTGCTACAAGAAAAGTTCATAGTATTAAATGCCTACATCAAAAAGTCTGAAAGAGCACAAACAGACAGCTAAGCTCACACTTCAATGAACTAGAGAAACAAGAACAAATCAAACCCAAACCCAGCAGAAGAAAAGCAGTAACAAAGATCAGAGCAGAATTAAATAATATTGAAAGAAAAAAATACAAAAGATAAATGAAACAAAAAGATGGTTCTTTTGAAAGATAAACAAAAGTGATAGACCATTAGCAAGATTAACCAGAAAAAAAGGAAGAAGACCCTAATAAGCTGAATTAGAAATAAAATGGGAGATATTACATCCCATAGCACAGAAATACAAAGGATCTTTCAAGGTTGCTGTGAACAACTTTATGTGCGAAAATTAGAAAACTAGAGAAGGATACATTCCTTGAAATATACAACCCCCCTAAACTATGAGGAAATATAACTTTTGAATATACCAATAATAAGTAGCAAGATTGAAACAGTAATAAAAAAAATTGCCAACAACAAAAAGTCCAGGAGCAGATGCATTCACAGCTGAATTCTAGCAAGCCTTGAAAGAAGAATTGGTACCAATCCTATTATAACTATTCCAAAGGATAGAGAAAGAGGGAATCCTCCCTAAATCATTTTATGAAGCCATGATCACCCTAATACCAAAACCAGGAAAGGATATAACAAAAAAAGAATACTACAGACCAATATCCTGATGAACATAGATGTAAATATCCTTGACAAAATACCAGCTAAATGAATTCAACACGATACCACAAAGATAATACATCATGATTAAGTGGGTTTCATACCAGGGATGCAGAGTTGGTTTAACATATGCAAGTCAATAAATGAGATACACTACATAAACATAAGTAAAAGCAAAAATCATACCATCTCGATAGATGCAGAAAATCATTTGACAAAATTTAGCATCCCTTTATGATTAAAACTCTCAGCAAAACTGGCATAAAAGGGACATACCTTAAGGTAATAGAAGTTATCTATGATAAATCCACAGACAACATTATATTAAATGGGGGAAAAGTTGAAAGCATTTCCCTTGAGAACTGAAACAAGACAAAGATGCCTACTTTCACCACTTCTATTCAACATAGTACCAGAAGTCCTAGCCAGAGCAATCAGACAAGTGAAAGAAATAAAGGGTATCCACATTGGTAATGAGAAAATCAAACTATTGCTGTTTGGTGATGACATGATCATATATCTGAAAACCCTGAAGACTCACCCAAAAAGCTCAGAGACCCGATAACTGAATTCAGTAATGCTTCAGGATACAAAATTAATGCACTCAAATCAGTAGCACTGCTATACACCAGCAGTGCCCAAGCAGAGAATCAAATCAGGAACTCAACCCCTTATACAACAGCTGCAAAAAACAAAAACAAAGCCCTTAGGAATATACCTAACCAAAGAGGTAAAATATCTGTATAAGAAAAACTACAAAACACTGCTGAAAGAAATTATTGATGATACAAACAAATGGAAACACATCCCATGCTCATGGATGGGGAGCACACTGCTGAAAGCAAACTATAAATTCAATGCAATTCCCATCAAAATGCCACCATCATTCTTCACAGAGCTAGCAACAACAATTCTAAAATTTATATGGAACAAAGAAAGAGCCCGCATAATCAAAGCAAGACTAAGCAAAAAGAACAAATCTGGAGGTATCACATTACTTGACTTCAAAGTATACTACAAGGCTGTAGTTGCCAAAACAACATGGTATTTGTTTAAAAATAGGCACATAGACTAATGCAGCATAATAGGGAACCCAGAAATAAAGCCAAATACTTAACATCAACTCATATTTAACAAAGCAAACAAAAACTAAAGTGGGGAAAGGACACCCTATTCAACAAATGGTGCTGGCATAATTGGCAATCCAAAACTAGAAGAATGAAACTGAATTTTCATCTCTCACCTAATACAAAAATCAACTCAAGATAGATCAAAAACTTAAATCTAAGACCTGACACCAAAAAATTCTAGAAGATAACATCAGAAAAACTCTTCTAAACATTGGCCTAGGCAAAAAATTTATGACCAAGAACCCAAAAGCAAATGGAACAAAAATAAAGATAGATGGAACTTAATTAAAGTAAAAAGCTTCTGCACAGAAAAAAAAAAAATCAGCAGAGTTAACAGACAACCCACAGAGTGGGAGAAAATCTTCACAAGCTATGCATCCAACAAAGGACTAATATCCAGAATCTCCAAGGAGCTCAAACAAATCAGCAAGAATAAAATGAACAACTCCATCAAAAAGTGGGCTAAGAACATGACTAGACAATTCCCAAAAGAAGATATACAAATGTCTAGCAAACAGGAAAAAAAATGCTCAACATCACTAATGATCAGGGAAATGCAAATCTAAACCACAATGCAATACCACCTTACTCCTGGAAGAATGGCCATAATTAAAATAAATAAATAATACATGTTGGCATGGATGTGGTGAAAAGGGAACACTTTTACACTGCTGTTGGGAATGTAAACTAGTATAACCACTATGGAAAACAGTATGGAGATTCCCTAAAGAACTAAAAGTAGATCTCCCATTTGATCCAGTAATCTCACTATTGGGTATCTACCCAGAGAAAAAGAAGTCATTATATAAAAAAGACACTTACACAGGCATGTTTATAGCAGCACAATTTACAATTGCAAAAATGTGAAACCAGAATAAATGCCCATCAACCAACGAGTGGATAAAGAAAACGTGCATATATATCATGGAATTGTTCCTAGCCATGTAACGGAATGAATCAATGGCATTCACAGCAACCTAGATGGAGTTGGAGACCATTATTCTAAGTGAAGTAACTCAGGAATGGAAATCCAAACATCATATATTCTCACTTATAATTGGGAACTACACTATGAGGATACAAAGGCATAAGAATGATACAATGGACTCTGGGGACTTGAGAGGAAGGGTGGGAAGGGGCTGAGGGATTTAAGACTACACACTGGGTACAGTGTGCACTGCTTGGGTGATGGATGCACCAAAATCTCAGAAATCATACCTAAAGAATTTATCCATGTAACCAAACACTACCTGTTTCCCAAAAAGGAATGAAATAATAATAATAAAAAGCACAACAACAACATAAAAGAAAATATACCCAGTAGACATTTTGAGATCTAAGAAATAAGGTAAGATAGACATATGCAAGGTGATACAAATAATCATTTGGAATAAATGTGAATCAACAGTATTTGTTCAGAACATTGGCTATCCTTTTAGTTAATAGATTTTTGTTCATAAGAAATTTAAAATTACAGTGCAGTGGCTTGAGCATCACCAAAGTCAACTTCAATTAAGGGATTCTGGGAGCTTAGTGCAAAAAGATACTGCCAAATTGTTCATCAGAGGACTAAGTATTAATAGAAAATCATATCAGACTTCCCTTTCCCAGCTATACAGTGCAATTTTTGGTTCATAGGCTAAATCTAGTATTTCATGTGAAATACTATCTAGTACAAACATAAAGTGTGATATACAGTAGAATAATGTAACCTGGACTAATTTGAGGACCTGGGTTCTAGAAAGCCATATCGACGTGATCAAACTTAGTTTCCATTGTCTGCTCCTGCACTTACTGCTTGTATGCCATTATCAAGTTACTTAAAAATCAATAGATCTGTTTTCTTATCTGTAAAATCGAGATAACAATAGGTCCTACCTCCTAGGGTTGTTGGAAGGTTTAAGTGAGATAAAACATATTGCATAGAAAATAGGGTTTAATATTAATTCTCTTTTGTCTTCTCCCAACTCTACTCCTTATGATGTGACTTCAAATTAGGCACCAAGTCAATTTTTCTTACCTGTAAAACAGGAATAATAATTGTGGGCCTAATTACTCCACAATGTCAAATGAGATAACCTATATAAAAGTGTTTTGTAAAGGCACTGTATAGATAAATGAGAGTGATTCCTATTAGTACATGCAAATGGTTTGCTGTTTTCAATGATTTTTAGGGATCATCTCAAATTTACAGCTTAAAACCTAAAATGAAGTTTATAGTCATCTTAATTATTTCAGGAGAAATTTCTCATTTTTTTTTCTTTATTTGGTTTTGTGCCTTCATCAAAATGTGGGAAGCAAGAGAGTTAAACTCAAATTTGTCAATTCTGCTGTTAGTATCTTTGGTGAAGGTTTCCATGCTGCCTAACATTATCCTTTCATTTTTTAAAAAACATGCTATCCATGACCTCTGTAACCATGGAGAAGTTCAAGATCTTCTCTCATTTTTTCCTGTGTCTGTTCTAGCATCTAGCAACATGCCTGGCAAATAGTAAGGGCTTGACCAGTATTTTTTAACTAAATTATTTCATGAATCTATGGGAGTGTATAAAGAAAACTGGATTTAGAGTCAAAAGACTAGGGTTCCTGTCTTGGATCTGTTCCATTTGGATGTTTAACCATGTACAAGTCACTTAAGGAAAGAGAATTACACAAATATTTTCTGTAAATGAGGATTGGCAATCCTCAAGTTTTTTGGAGAATTAAGAGAACGTAGATGAAACTTTTTTTGTAAATTATAAAACACCAAATTTAAGGTGTTATGATTAGTCATTAGTGAATTTTGCTTTAATAGAGTCTTAAATAATTAAACTGGCTGGATGAATAGACCAAATGCTTATTAGCTAATATAGGTAAATGTATGCATAAATGTTTTCTATGAAAGTGAAAACACAAGGCACAAAGGCAATTGTACTATTCTAATTCATATTCTGTGGCATTGAGAATAAGGCTACTTGCCTAATGAGACACTGAACAAAACTATAGTGCAGTTTTCATCCCGGAATGCCCTACAATAACATTTAAAATTCATTACTGCATTTCGATTACTGCTAATAATACTATACTTTGTTTCAATGTTTTTCCTTAGAGTACTCATTGGCAAAGTAGCCATTCAATTGTTCCTGCCCATTTCAAGTTAGTTGATGCCACTTTTCAAATGAGAGACCCTTTAATTTGCATTATGTGCCAGGTGAAAAGATGCACAGGTTTTCAAAAGTGAGTGATATTACAATTCTAGGTTGCAATTCTTATCATCCAATCCAATTTAAACTCTCTACTTTGTAATTATAGCTAACAGTGTACTGACCTGGAAAATCAGACAAAAAGCAGAAAAATAAAGGGAGAAAAATACCACTGATACCAATACCAAAACAACAAACAAACAAAACAATGGAAAACAGAGAGCCAGACCAAGGCTCAAATCCCACCAAAAACTGGGATATTCCTTTTACCTGTTACTCATACTTCTTTGAATCTCTGAATGTGTTGGTAAGATTCCTGTATGGAAAAATAATTTTAAGAATTGGCTTTTTGGCATACTGCCCAAAGCAATGTACAGATTCAATGCTATTCCTATCAAACTACCAATGACATTCTTTACAGAAATAGAAGAAACTATTTTAAGTTTCATATGGAACTGAAAAAGAGCCAGAGTACCCAAGGCAATCTTAAGCAAAAAGAAAAAAGGCATCACATTACCTGACTTCAAACTATACTAAAAGGCTACAGTAACCAAAATAGCATGATACTGATACAAAAAGTATCACCAGTGGAACAGAATATACCAATGGAACAGAATAGAGAGCCCAGAAATAATGCCACACACCTATAATCATCTGATTTTTGACAAAGTTGACCACAACAAGCAACAGAGAAAAGACTCCCTCTTCAATAAATGGTTCAAAGATACCTGGCTAGTAATATGCGGAAGATTAAAACTGGGCCCCTTCCTTATGCCATATACAAAAATCAACTAAAAAAGGATTAAAGACTTAAACGTAAAACCTACAACCATAAAAAAAACCCTGAAAGATAATGAGGAAATACCATTCTGGACATAGGACCTGGCAAATATTTCATGATGAAGACACCAAAAGCAATTTCAATAAACACAAAAATTGACAAATGGGATCTAATTAAACTGAAGATCTTCTGCACAGCAAAAGAAACTATCAAGAGAGTAAACAGACAACCACAGAATGGGAGAAAGCATTTGCAAACTATACATCCAACAAAAGTCTAATATCCAGAATCTATTAAAAAAAACTGAACAAATCAACAAGCAAAAAGCAAACAACCCCATTAAAATGTGGGCAAAGGACATCAACAGACACTTTTCAAAGGAAGACATACATGTGGCCAACAAGCATATAAAAAATTCTCAACATCACTAATCATTAGAGAAATGCAAATCAAAACCATAATGGGATACCATGTCACACTAGTCAGAATGGCTATTACTAAAAAGTAAAAAAAAAAAAAAAAGAAAAGGAAAACAGATAGATGCTGGAGAGGTTGAGGAGAAAAGAGAACACACTGCGGGTGGAAATGTAAATTAGTTCAGCCATTGTGGAAAGCAGTTTGGTGAGTTCTCGAATAAGTCAAAGAACAATTACCATTTGACCCAGAAATCCCATTACTGGGTATATACCCAAAGAAATATAAAACATTCTACCATAAAGAAACATGCAAATTTATGTTCACTGCAGCACTATTCACAATAGAAAAGACATGGAATCAACCTAAATGTCCATCAACAGTAGACTGGATAAAGAAAATGTGGTACATACACACTATGGAATACTGTGCAGCCATAAAAAAGAATGACATCATGTGCTTTGCAGCAACAGAGATGGAGCTGGATGCCATTATCCTTAGCAAACTAATACAGGAACAAAAACCCAAATACCACATGTTCTCACTTATAAGTGGGAGCTAAACACTGAGTACATATAGACACGAAGAGGAAAACAATAGACATGGGGGCCTACTTGTGGGTGGAGAAAGGGAGGAGGGTGAGGATAAAAAAACTACCTATCAGGTACTATGCTTATCATCTGGGTGATGAAATAATCTGTATATCAACCCATGTGACACGGAAATTACCTGAATAACAAACCTGCACATGTACCCTTGAACCAAAATAATAGTTAAAAACAAATAAATATAATTTAAACTTAATATATAAAAACGAATTGACTTTTCAGAAGACAAAATAGAGAATGTCAACATTGGAAGAAAATTTAAGTTTCAAATACTAAATGAATCTCATTTTATATTTTAAATTAATTGTTTTTGATCTTTTATTTTATTTTATGTTATTATACTTTAAGTTCTAGGGTACATGTCCACAATGTGCAGGTTTGTTACATATGTATACATGTGCCATGTTGGTGTGCTGCACCCATTAACTCGTCATTTACATTAGGTATATCTCCTAAAGCTATCCCTCCCCCCTCCCCCCACCCCACGACAGGCCTCGGTGTGTGATGTTCCCCTTCCTGTGTCCATGTGTTCTCATTGTTCAATTCCCACCTATGAGAGAGAACATGCAGTGTTTGGTTTTTTGTCCTTGTGATAGTTTGCTGAGAATGATGATTTCCAGCTTCATCCATGTCCCTACAAAGGACATGAACTCATCCTTTTTTGTGGCTGCATAGTATTCCATGGTGTATATGTGCCACATTTTCTTAATCCAGTCTATCATTGATGGACATTTCGGTTGGTTCCAAGTCTTTGCTATTGTGAATAGTGCTGCAATAAACATATGTGTGCATGTGTCTTTATAGCAGCATGATTTATAATCCTTTGGGTATATACCCAGTAATGGGATGGCTGGGTCAAATGGTATTTCTAGTTCTAGATCCTTGAAGAATCGCCACACTGTCTTCCACAATGGTTGAACCAGTTTACAGTCCCACCAACAGTAAAAGTGTTCCTATTTCTCCACATCCTCTCCAGTACCTGTTGTTTCCTGACTTTTTAATGATCGGCATTCTAACTGGTGTGAGATGGTATCTCATTGTGGTTTTCATTTGCATTTCTCTGATGATCAGTGATGATGAGCATTTTTTCATGTGTCTGTTGGCTGCATAAATGTCTTATTTATTTTTAAAATAATCACCTTGATTGAGAATAAGCATGTCACTTTATAGACAGGGAAAGTGAAATACAGAGAGAGGAAGAAACTTGTCAAATGTCACTCAATTTTTTAGCATAATTAGTTGGTCTCTAATTTTCAAGTTATCCCTCTTTTAAAAGGGAGACTGTAAGTCACTCTTCGTCAAAGTGTATGATTTTTAAAAATCAGAATGGCTGGGTGGCTTAAGAAAAAAAACAGAGCTCCCAGCATGAGTGACACAGAAGATGGGTGATTTCTGCATTTCCAACTGAGGTTCCGGGTTCATCTCACTGGGGAGTGCCAGAGAGTGGGTGCAGGACAGTGGAAGCAGCACACCGTGTGTGGGCTGAAGCACGGTGAAGCATTGCCTCATCCGGGAAGCGCAAGGGGTAAGGGAATTCCCTTTCCTAGTCAAAAAAAAGGGGTGACAGATGGCACCTGGAATATCGGGTCACTCCCACTCTAATAATGTCCTTTTCCAATGGGTTTAACAAACGGCACACCAAGACACTATATCCCGCACCTGGTTCAGAGGGTCCTATGCCCACAGAGCCTTGCTCATTGCTAGCACAGCAGTCTGAGATCAAACTGCAAAGCGGCAGTGAGGCTGGGGGAGGGGCACCAGATATTGCCGAGGCTTGACTAGGTAAACAAAGCCGCCAAGCTCGAACTGGGTGGAGCCCACCATAGCTCAAGGAGGCCTGCCTGCCTCTATAGGCTCCACCTCTGGGGGCAGGGCACAAACAAAAGGCAGCAGTAAACTCTGCAGACTTAAATGTCCCTGTCTGACAGCTTTGAAGAGAGTAGTGGTTCTCACAGCACGCAGCTTGAGATCTGAGAATGGGCAGACTACCTCCTCAAGTGGGTCTCTGACCCCCGAGTAGCCTAACTAGGAGGCACCCCTCAGTATGGGCAGACTGACACCTCACAGGGCCGGGTACTCCTCTGAGACAAAACTTCCAGAGGAACGATCAGGCAGCAGCATTTGTGGTTCACCAATATCCGCTGTTCTGCAGCCATTGTTGCTGATGCCCAGGCAAACAGGGTTTGGAGTGGACCTCCAGTAAACTCTGCAGCTGAGGGTCCTGACGGTTAGAAGCAAAACTAACAAACAGAAAGGACATCCACACCAAAAACCCAACTGTATGTCACCATCTTCAAAGACCAAAGGTAGATAAAACCATAAAGATGTGGGAAAAACAGCGCAGAAAAACTGGAAACTCTAAAAATCAGAACACCTCTCCTCCTCCAAAGGAACGCAGCTCCTCACCAGCAACAGAACAAAGCTGAACAGAGAATGACTTTGACGAGAGAAGAAGGCTTCAGATGATCAAACTACTCCGAGCTAAAGGAGGAAGTTCAAACCAATGGCAAAGAAGATAAAAACCTTGAAAAAAAATTAGACGAATGGCTAACTAGAATAACCAGTGTAAAGAAGTCCTTAAATGACCTGATGCAGCTGAAAACCATGGCATGAGAAATACGTGACAAATGCACAACTCTCAGTAGCTGATGCAATCAACGGGAAGAAAGGGTATCAGCGATGGAAGACAAAATGAATGAAATGAAGTGTGAAGAGAAGTTTAGAGAAAAAAGACTAAAAAGAAATGAACAAAGCCTCCAAGAAATATGGGACTATGTGAAAAGACCAAATCTACGTCTGATTGGTGTACCTGAAAGTGACGGGGAGAATGGAACCAAGTTGGAAAACACTCTGCAGGATATTCTCCAGGAGAACTTCCCCAATCTAGCAAAGCAGGCCAACATTCAAATTCAGGAAATACAGGGAACACCACAAAGAAATTCCTTGAGAAGAGCAACTCCAAGACACACAATTGTGAGATTCACCAAAGTTGAAATGAATGAAAAAATGTTAAGGGCAGCCAGAGAGAAAGGTCGGGTTATCCACAAAGGGAAGCCCATCAGACTACCAGCTGATCTCTCGGCAGAAATTCTACAAGCCAGAAGAGAGTGGGGGCTAATATTCAACATTCTTAAAGAAAAGAATTTTCAACCCAGAATTTCATATCCAGCCAAACTAAGCTTCATAAGTGAAGGAGAAATAAAATACTTTACAGACAAGCAAATGCCGAGAGATTTTGTCACCACCAGGCCTGCCCTAAAAGAGCTCCTAAAGGAAGTGTTAAACACGGAGAGGAACAACCAGTACCAGCCACTGCAAAAACATGCCAAATGGTAAAGACCGTCAAGTCTAGGAAGAGCTGCATCAACTAACGAGCAAAATAACCAGCTAACATCATAATGACAGGATCAAATTCACACATAACAATATTAACCTTAAATGTAAATGGGCTAAATGCTCCAATTAAAATGTACAGACTGGCAAATTGGATAAAGAGTCAAGACCCATCGGTGTGCTGTATTCAGGAAACCCATCTCACGTGCAGAGAAACACATAGGCTCAAAATAAAGGGATGGAGGAAGATCTACCAAGCAAATGGAAAACAAAAAAAAGTCAGTGGTTGCAATCCTAGTCTCTGATAAAACAGATTTTAAACCAACAAAGATCAAAAGAGACAAAGAAGGCCATTACATAATGGTAAAATGATCAATTCAACAAGAAGAGCTGACAATCCTAAATATATATGCACCCAATACAGGAGCACCCAGATTCATAAAGCAAGTCCTTAGTGACCTACAAAGAGACTTAGACTCCCACACAATAATAATGGGAGACTCTAACACCCCACTGTCAACATTAGACAGATCTGTGAGACAGAAAGTTAACAAGGGTCTCCAGGAATTGAACTCAGCTCTGCACCAAGCGGACCTAATAGACACCTACAGAACTCTTCACCCTAAATCAACAGAATATACATTCTTCTCAGCACCACACCACACCTATTCCAAAATTGACCACATAGTTGGAAGTAAAGCACTCCTCAGCAAATGTAAAAGAACAGAAATTATAACAAACTGTCTCTCAGACCACAGTGCAATCAAACTGGAACTCAGGATTAACAAACTCACTCAAAACTGCTCAACTACATGGAAACTGAACAACCTCCTCCTGAATGACTACTGGGTACATAACGAAACAAAGGCAGAAATAAAGATGTTCTTTGAAAGCAAAGAGAACAAAGACACAACATACCAGAATCTCTGGGACACATTCAAAGCAGTGTGTAGAGGGAAATTTATAGCACTAAATGCTCACAACAGAAAGCAGGAAAGATCTAAAATTGACACCCTAACATCACAATTAAGAGAACTAGAGAAGCAAGAGCAAACACATTCAAAAGCTAGCAGAAGGCAAGAAATAACTAAGATCAGAGCAGAACTGAAGGAAATAGAGACAAAAAAAACCCTTCAAAAAATTAATGAATTCAGGAGCTGGTTTTTTGAAAAGATCAACAAAATTGATAGACCACTAGCAAGACTAATAAAGAAGAAAAGAGAGAAGAATCAATTAGATGCAATAAAAAGTAATAAAGGGGATATCACCACCGATCCCACAGAAATACAAACTACCATGAAAGAATACTATAAACACCTCTATGCAAATAAACTAGAAAATCTAGAAGAAATGGATAAATTCCTCGACACATACACCCTCCCAAGACTAAACCAGGAAGAAGTTCAATCCCTGAATAGACCAATAACAGGCTCTGAAATTGAGGCAATAATTAATAGCTTACCAACCAAAACAAGTCCAGGACCAGATGGATTCACAGCCGAATTCTACCAGAGGTACAAGGAGGAGCTGGTACCATTCCTTCTGAAACTATTCCAATCAATAGAAAAAGAGGGAATCCTCCCTAACTCATTTTATGAGGCCAGCATCATCCTGATACCAAAGCCTGGCAGAGACACAACAAAAAAAGAGAATTTTAGACTAATATCCTTAATGAACATTGATGCAAAAATCCTCAATAAAATCCTGGAAAACCAAATCCAGCAGCACATCAAAAAGCTTATCCACCATGATCAAGTGGGCTTCATCCCTGGGATGCAAGACTAGTTCAACATATGCAAATCAATAAACGTAATCCAGCATATAAACGGAACCAAAGACAAAAATGACATGATTATCTCAATAGATGCAGAAAAGGCTTTTGACAAAATTCAACAGCCATTCATGCTAAAAACTCTCAATAAATTAGGTATTGATGGGATGTATCTCAAAATAATAAGAGCTATCTATGACAAACCCACAGCCAATATCATACTAAATGGACAAAAACTGGAAGCATTCCCTTTGAAAACTGGTACAAGTCAGGGATGCCCTCTCTCACTACTCCCATTCAACATAGTGTTGGAAGTTCTGGCCAGGGCAATCAGGCAGGAGAAGGAAATAAAGGGTATTCAATTTGGAAAAGAGGAAGTCAAATTGTCCCTGTTTGCAGATGACATGATTGTATATCTAGAAAACCCGATCGTCTCAGCCCAAAATCTCCTTAAGCTGATAAGCAACTTCAGCAAAGTCTCAGGACACAAAATCAATGTGCAAAAATCACAAGCATTCTTATACACCAATAACAGACAAACAGAGACCCAAATCATGAGTGAACTCCCATTCACAATTGCTTCAAAGAGAATAAAATACCTAGGAATCCAACTTACAAGGGACGTGAAGGACCTCTTCAAGGATAACTACAAACCACTGCTCAATGAAATAAAAGAGGATACAAACAAATGGAAGAACATTCCATGCTCATGGGTAGGAAGAATGAATGTCGTGAAAATGGCCATACTGCCCAAGGTAATTTATAGATTCAATGCCATCCCCATTAAGCTACCAATGACTTTCTTCACAGAATTGGAAAATCTACTTTAAATTTCATATAGAACCAAAAAAGAGCCTGCATCACCAAGTCAATCCTAAGCCAAAAGAACCAAGCTGGAGGCATCACACTACCTGACTTCAAACTATACTACAAGGCTACAGTAACCAAAACAGCATGGTACTGGTACCAAAACAGAGATATAGACCAATGGAACAGAACAGAGCCCTCAGAAATAATGCCGCATATCTACAACTATCTGATCTTTGACAAACCTGACAAAAACAAGCAATGGGGAAAGGATTCCCTATTTAATAAATGGTGCTGGGAAAACTGGCTATCCAGATGTAGAAAGCTGAAACTGCATCCCTTCCTTACACCTTATACAAAAATTAATTCAAGATGTATTAAAGACTTACATGTTAGACCTAAAACCATAAAAATGCTAGAAGAAAACCTAGGCAGTACCATTCAGGACATAGGCATGTGTAAGGACTTCATGTCTATAACACCAAAAGCAATGGCAACAAAAGCCAAAATTGACAAATGGGATCTAATTCAACTAAAGAGCTTCTGCACAACAAAAGAAACTACCATCAGAGTGAACAGGTAACCTACAGAATGGGAGAAAATTTTTGCAACCTACTCATCTGACAAAAATTAACTCAAACAAATTTACAAGAAAAAAACAAACAACCCCATCAAAAAGTGAGGGAAGGACATGAACAGACACTTCTCAAAAGAAGACATTTATGCAGCCAAAAAACACATGAAAAAATGCTCATCAACACTGGCCATTGGAGAAATGCAAATCAAAACCACAATGAGATACCATCTCACACCAGTTAGAATGGCGATCATTAAAAAGTCAAGAAAGAACAGGTGCTGGAGAGGATGTGGAGAAATAGAAACACTTTTACACTGTTGGTGGGACTGTAAACTAGTTTAACCATTGTGGAAGTCAGTGTGGCGATTCCACTAGGATCTAGAACTAGAAATACCATCTGACCCAGCTCTCCCATTACTGGGTATATACCCAAAGGATTATAAATCATGCTGCTATAAAGACACATGCACACATATGTTTATTGTGGCACTATTCACAATAGCAAAGACTTGGAACCAACCCAAATGTCCAACAATGATAGACTAGATTAAGAAAATGTGGCACATATACACCATGGAATACTATGCAGCCATAAAAAATGATGAGTTCATGTCCTTTTTAGGGAGATGGATGAAGCGGGAAGCCATCATTCTCAGCAAACTATCACAAGGACAAAAAACGAAACACCACATGTTGTCACTCATAGGTGAGAATTGAACAATGAGAACACATGGACACAGGTAGGGGAACATTACACTGTGGGGACTGTTGTGGGGTTGGAGGAGGGGGGAGGGATAGCATTAGGAGATATACCTAATGCTAAATGATGAGTTAATGGGTGCAGCACACCAACATGGCACATGTATACATATTAACAAACCTGCACGTTGTGCACATGTACCCTAATACTTAAAGTATAATAATAATAAAATTTAAAAAAAGAATAAAAACAAACAACCCAATTAAGAAGTGGGCAGAGGACATGAACAGACACTTTTCAAAAGAGTACATATGTGCAACCTAAAATTATATGAAAAAATATTCAACATCACTGGTCATTTGAGAAATGCAAATGAAAACCACAATGAGATAGCATCTCCAACAAGTAAGAATGGCTATTAATAAAAAGTCAAAAAATAACAGATGCTGGCAAGGTTGTGGAAGAAATTGAATGCTTATACACTGTAAGTGGAAGTGTAAAGTAGTTCAGCCATTGTGGAAGACAGTGTGGTGATTTCTAAAAGAACTAAAAACAGAAAAACCGAAGTCTCTTTAGAGGATCATGGCAGATGGGAGGCAGGAGTAGATTGCAGTGCTGACTCCGATGGACAGAGCAGTGCGTGGAGCCTCAGATCGTAAATTTTTCTAGAGGACCACTACAGGAATAAATCAGGTAACCTAAGAGGACCCACAGACCCTCTGAAGGAAGCAGATTGCCCCTGCAGGACCTGAGAGACAATGCAAATACTTTGAGTGCCAAAAGTGTGAAAATAGAAAAGGGAGATTATTCATCCCCAAACACAAACCCCCACTGGGGAAACTGAAGGTCTAGGTTATGGAAGATTCTGACCTTACCTGGAGCTGAGTCAATTTAGAGAGCTGAGCAAAATACAGGGGTAGAGGAAGCAGCAGAGAATGCCCTGTGAGCTCCCTGGGTAAACTAGCAACCCATCTCTGCCTGGCCTCACAGGGGTCTTTCAGAAGGGTTCCAGAGGCACAGGGAAAAGGCCTTTGGGAGCAAGAAATCTCCAGCTGAACTTTGTAACAACTTGAACTCATTGAGAAGTCTCCTAGCCAAAACTCGGGGGAGGCTGTGAATCTGGTGTGTGGACTCCACAAGTAGGGGAAAAAGGAAAGCCATACTTGCTTTGTCACCTGGGAGGCTCAATAGCAATGGATCCAAACCAAGAAGAAATCCCTGATTTGTCTGAAAAAGATTTCAGGAGGTTAGTTATTAACCTAATCAGGAATGCACCAGAGAAAGATGAAGCTCATGGAAGGAAATTTAAAAAATGATATAAGAAGTGAAGGGAGAAATAGTCAATGAAATAGCATAAATAAAAAACAATCAAAACTTCAGGAAACAATGAACACACTTATAGAAATGCAAAAATGATTTGGAAAGTCTCAGCAATAGAATCAAAGAAGTAGAAGAAAGAAAGTCAGAGCTCGAAGATAATGTCTTTGAATTAATCCAATGCAACAAAGACAAAAAAATTTAAGAAAACATAAACAAAGCCTCCAAGAAGTCCGGCATTATGTCAAACAACCAAACCTAAGAGTAATTGGCATTCTTGAAGAAGAAGAAAAATCTAAAAGTTTGGAAAACATATTTGGGGGAATAATTGAGGAAAACTTCCCCAGCCTTGCTAGAGACTTAGACATCCAAATACAAGAAGCACAAAGAACATCTGGGAAATTCGCCTCAAAAAGATCATTGCCTAGGCACATTTTCATCAGGTTATATAAAGTTAAGACGAAGGAAAGAATCTTTTTTTTTTTTTTTTTTTTTTTTTGAGACGGAGTCTCGCTCTGTCGCCCAGGCCAGACTGCGGACTGCAGTGGCGCAATCTCGGCACACTGCAAGCTCCGCTTCCCGGGTTCACGCCATTCTCCTGCCTCAGCCTCCCGAGTAGCTGGGACTACAGGCGCCCGCCACCGCACCCGGCTAATTTTTTGTATTTGTAGTAGAGACGGGGTTTCACCTTGTTAGCCAGGATGGTCTCGATCTCCTGACCTCATGATCCACCCGCCTCGGCCTCCCAAAGTGCTGGGATTACAGGCGTGAGCCACCGCGCCCGGCCAGGAAAGAATCTTAAGAGCTGTGAGACAAAAGCGCCAAGTAACCTATAAAGGAAAACCTATCAGACTAACAGCAGATTTCTCAAAAGAAACCCTACAAGCTGGAAGGGATTGGAACCCTATCTTAAGCCTCCTCAAACAAAAAAATTATCATCAGCGAAGAATTTTGTATGCAGTGAAACTAAGCTTTATATATGAAAAAAAGATACAGTCTTTTTCAGACAAATAAATGCTGAGAGAATTCACCACTACCAAGCCACCGCTACAAGAACTGCTAAAAGGAGCTCCAAATCTTGAAACAAATCCTGGAAACACATCAACACAGAACCTCTTTAAAGCATAAATCTCACATGTCCTATAAAAGAAAAATACAATTAAACAAAATCAAAAATATATAGGCAACAGATAGCACAATTAAAGGAATGCTACCCCACATCTCAATACTAACATTGAATTGGAGTGACCTAAATGCTCCACTTAGAAGATACAGAACCGCAGAATGGATAAGAACTCACCAACCAACTACCTGCTGTTTTCAAGAGACTCACCTAACACACAAGGACTCACATAAAATGAAGGTAAAGGGATGGAAAGAGACATTTCATGCAAATGGACACCAAAAGCGAGCTGAAGTAGCTATTCTTATATCAGACAAAACAAACTTGAAAGCAACAGCAGTTAATAAAGACAAAGAGGGAAATTATATAATGGTAAAAGGCCTTGTCCAATAGGAAAGTATCACAATCCTAAACATATATGCACTTAACACTGGAGCTCTTAAATTTATAAAAAAATTACTAATAGACCTAAGAAATGAGTTAGACAGCAAACACAATAATAGTGGGGGACTTCAATACTCCACTGACAGCACTAGAAAGGTCATCAAGACAGAAAGTCAACAAATAAACAATGGATTTAAACTGTACTCTGGAGCAAATTGACTTAACAGATATATTCATAACATTCCATCCAACAACCACAGAAAATACATTATATTCAACAGTGCGTGGAACTTTCTCCAAGATAGACCATATGATAAGCCACAAAAGGTGCCTCAATACATTTAAGAAAATGGAAGTTATATCAAGCACTCTCTCAGACCACAGTGGAATAAAACTGGATATCAACTCCAAAAGTAACCTTCAAAACTATGCAAATACATGAAAATTAAATAATCTGCTCCTGAATGATCATTGGGTCAAAAATGAAATCAAGATGGAAATTAAAAAATTCTTCAAACTGAATGACAATAGTGACAAAACATATCAAATCCTCTAGGTACAGCAAAGCTGGTGCTAAGAGGAAAGTTCATAGCCATAAACACCTACATCAGAAAGACTAAAAGAGCACAAACAGACAATCTAAGATCACACCTCAAGGAACTAGAGAAACAAGAACCAACCAAACCCAAACCCAGCAGAAGAAAGGAAATAACCAAGATCAGAGCAGATCTAAATGAAATTGAAACAACAACAACAAAAAATACAAAAGATAAATGAAACAAAAAGCTGGTTCTTTGACAAGATAAATAAAATCGATAGGTCGTTAGCAAGATTAGCCAAGAAAAAAAAAGAGAAAATCCAAATAAACTCACTAACAAATGAAATGGGAGATATTACAACTGACACCACAGAAATATAAAAGATCATTCAAGGCTACTATGAACACTTGTATTTGCAAAAACTAGAAAACCTAGAAGAGATGGATAAGTTCCTGGAAAGAAATAACCATCCCAGCTTGAATCAGGAAGAATTAGATACCCTGAACAGAACAATAACAAGCAGTGAGATTGAAATGGTAATTTAACAGTTACCAACAAAAAAAAGTCCAGGACAAGAAGGATTAATGGCAGAATTCTACCAGACATTCAGAAAAGAATTGCGACCAATCCTACTGACACTATTCCACAAGATAGAGAAAGAGGGAACCCTCCCTATATAATTCTATGAAGCCAGTATCACTCTAATGCCCAAGCCAGGAAAAAACATAACCAAAAAAGAAAAGTACAGACAGTATCCCTGATGTACATAGATGCTAAAATCCTTAACAAAATACTAACTAACCAAATCCAAAAACATATCAAAAAGATCATCCATCATGATCAAGTGGGTTTCACACCAGGGACATAGGGATGGTTTAACATATGCAAGTAGATAAATGTGATATACCACATAAACAGAATCAAAAACAAAAATCACATGATCATCTCAATAGATGCAGAAAAAGCATTCAACAAAATCCAGCCTCCCTTTATGATTGAAACTTTCACGAAAACTGGCATAAAGGGGACGTACCTCAAAGTAATAAAAGCCATCTATGACAAACCCACAGCCAACATAATATTGAATGGGGAAAAGTTGAAAACATTCTCTCTGAGAACTGGAACAAGACAACAATGCCCACTCTCACTGCTCCTCTTCAACATAGTACTAAAAGTCCTAGCCAGAGCAATCAGGCAAGAGAAAGAAATAAAGGGCATCCAAATCGATAAAGAGAAAGTTAAACTGTCACTGTTGATGATATGATTGTTTACCTAGAAAACCCTAAAGTTTCTCCAGAAAGCTCCTAGAACTGATAAAAGAATTCAGTAAAGTTTCTGGATACAAGATTAATGTACACAAATCAGTAGCTCTTATATACACCAACAGCAACTAAGCTGAGAATCAAATCAAGAACTCAACCCTTTTATGATCCCTTAAAAAAAAATCTGAGGGATTTGCTTGCAAGATGGCCAAATAGGAGCAGCTCCAGTCTGCAGCTCCCAATGAGATTGATGCAGAAGAAGGGTGATTTCTGCATTTCCAACTGAGGTACCCGGTCCCTCTCACTGGGACTGGTTGGACAGTGGGTGCAGCCCATGGAGGGCAAGCTGAAGCAGGGTGAGGCGTCACCTCACCCAGGAAGCAAAATTGGTCAGGGAATTCTCTCCCCTACCCAAGCGAAGCCATGGAGGACTGTGCCTTGAGGAATGGTGCACTCTGGCCCAGATACTGTGCTTTTCCCACAGTCTTCACAACCTGCAGACCTGGAGATTCCCTCTGGAGCCTATGCCACCAGGGCCCTGGGTTTCAAACACAAAACTAGGTAGCCATTTCGGCAGACACCAAGCTAGCTGCAGGTGTTTTTTTTTTTTTTTTCCTTTTTTCTTTCTTTTTTTTTTTTCCATACGCCAGTAGCGCATGGAACACCAGTGAGATAGGACCATTCACTCCCCTGGAAAGAGGGCTGAAGCCAGGGAGCCAACTGGTCTGGCTTGGCAGGTCCCACCCCCATGGAGCCCAGCAAGCTAAGATCCACTGGCTTGAAATTCTCGCTGCCAGTACAGTAGTCTGAGGTTGACCTGGGATGCTTGAGCTTGGTTTGGGGAGGGGCATCTCCCACTGCTGAGGCATGAGTAGGAGGTTTTACTCTCACAGTGTAAACAAAGCCACGAGGAAGTTCAAACTGGGTGGAGCCAATGGCAGCTCAGCAAGGCCACTGTGGCCAGACTGCCTCTCTAGATTCCTCCTCTCTGGGAAGGGCATCTCTGAAAGAAAGGCAGCAACCCCAGTCAGGGGCTTATAGATAAAACCCCCATCTTCCTGGGACAGAGCACCTCAGGGAAGGGGCGGCTGTGGGCATAGCTTCAGCAGAAATAAATGTCCCTGCATGATGGCTCTGAAGAGAGCAGCGGATCTCACAGCACAGTGAGCTCTGCTAAGGGACAGACTCCCTCCTCAAGAGGGTCCCTGACCCCCATGTATCCTGACTGGGAGACGCATCCCAGTAGGGGCCAACAGACACCTCATACAGGAGAGCTCTGGCTGACATCTGGCAGGCACCCCTCTGGGATGAAGCTTCCAGAAGAAGGAACAGGCAGCAATATTTGCTGTTCTGCAGCCTCTGCTGGTGATACCCAGGCAAACAGGGTCTGGAGTGGACCTCCAGCAAACTCCAGCAGACCTGCATCAGAGGGACCTGACTGTTAGAAGGAAAACTAACAAACAGAAAGGGATAGCATCAACATCAACAAAGAGGATATCCACTAAGAGACCCCATCCGAAGGTCACCGACATCAAAGACCAAAAAGAGATAAATCCATGAAGATGGGGAGAAACCAGTGCAAAAAGCCTGACAATTCCAAAAACCAAAATGCCTCTACTCCTCCAAAATATCACAACTCCTCACCAGCAAGGGAACAAAACTGGATGGAGAATGAGTTTGATGAATTGACAGAAGTAGGCATCAGAAGGTGGGTAATAACAAACTCCTCCGAGCTAAAGGAGCATGTTCTAACCCAATGCAAGGAAGCTAATGGTTAGAAGAATTGCTAACTAGAATAACCAGTTTAGAGATGAACAGAAATGACCGGATGGAGCTCAGAAACACAGAACGAGACCTTTTGAAGCATACACGAGTATCAACAGCTGAATCGACCAAGCAGAAGAAAGGATATCAGAGATTGAAGACCAACTTAATGAAATAAAGCGAGAAAAGAAGATCAGAGAAAAGAGAATGAAAAGGAACAAACAAAGCCTCTGAGAAATATGGCACTATGTGAAAAGACCAAATCTACATTTAATTGGTGTACCTGAAAGTGATGGGGAGAATGGAAACAAGTTGGAAAACACTGCAGGATATTATCCAGGAGAACTTCCCCAACATAGCAAGACATGCCAACATTCAAATTCAGGAAGTACGGAGAACACCACAAAGATACTCCTCGAGAAGAGCAACCCCAAGACACATAATAGATTCACCAAGGTTGAAATGAAGGAAAAAACTGTTAAGGGCAGCCAGAGAGAAAGGTCGAGTTACCCACAAAGGGGAAGCCCATCAGACTAATAGCAGATCTCTCTGCAGGAACCATACAAGCCAGAAGAGAGTGGGGGCCAATATTCAACATTCTTAAAGAAAAGAATTTTCAACCCAGAATTTCACATCCAGCCAAACTAAGCTTCATAAGTGAAGGAGAAATAAAATCCTTTACAGACAAGCAAATGCTGAGAGATTTTATCACCACCAGGCCTGCCTTACAAGAGCTCCTGAAGGAAGCACTCAACATGAAAAGAAACAACGGGTACCAGCCACTGCAAAAACATGCCAAATTGTAAAGACAATTGATGCTAGGAAGAAACTATCAATTAATGGGCAAAATAACCAGCTAACATCATAATGACAGGATTAGATTCACACATAACAATATTAACCTTAAATGTAAATGGGCTAAATGCTCCAATTAAAAGACACAGACTGGCAAATTGGATAAAGAGTCAAGACCCATCAGTGTGCTGTATTCAGGAGACCATCTCACGTGCAGACGCACATAGGTTCAAAATAAAGGGATGGAGGAAGATCTACCAAACAAATGGAAAGCAAAAAAAAAGCAGAGGTTGCAATCCTAGTCTCTGATAAAACAGACTTTAAACCAACAAAGTTCAAAGGAGACAAAGAAGGACATTACAAAATGGTAAGTGGATCAATTCAATAAGAAGAGCTAACTATTTTAAATATATATGCACTGAATACAGGAGCACCCAGATTCATAAAGCAAGTCCTTAGAGACCTACAAGGAGACTTAGACTCCCACACAATAATAACGGGAGACTTTAACACTCCACTGTCAACATTAGACAGATCAATGAGATAGAAGGTCAACAAAGGTATCCAGGACTTGAACTCAGCTCTTCACCAAGAAGACCTAATAGACATCTACAGAACTCTCCACCCCAAATCAACAGAATATACATTCTTCTCAGCACCACATCACATGTATTCTAAAATTGACCACATAATTGTAAGTAAAGCACTCCTCAGCAAATGTAAAAGAACAGAAATCACAACAAACTGTCTCTCAGACCACAGTGCAATCAAATGAGAACTGAGGATTAGGAAACTCACACAAAACTGCACAACTACATGGAAACTAAACAACTTGCTCCTGAATGACTACTGGTTAAATAACGAAATGAAAGCAGAAATAAAGATGTTCTTTGAAACCAATGAGAACAAAGATACAACATACCAGAATCTCTGGGACACATTTAAAGCAGTGTGTAGAGGGAAATTTATAGCACTAAATGCCCACAAGAGAAAGCAGGAAAGATCCAAAATTGACACCCTAACATCACAATTAAAAGAACTAGAGAAGCAAGAGCAAACAAATTCAAAAGCTAGCAGAAGGCAAGAAATAACTAAGATCAGAGCAGAACTGAAAGAGATAGAGATGCAAAAAACCCTACAAAAAAATCAATGAATCCACAATAAAAAATGATAAAGGGGATATCACCAAAGATCCCAAAGAAATACAAACTACCATCAGAGAATACCATAAACACCTCTACCCAAATAAACTAGAAAGTCTAGAAGAAATGGATAAATTCCTGGACACATACACCCTCCCAAGACTAAACCAGGAAGAAGTTGAATCTCTGAATACACCAATAACACGCTCTGAAATTGAAGCAATAATTAATAGCCTGCCTACCAACCAACCAAAGTCTGGGACCGGAATGATTCACAGCTGAATTTGACTAGAGGTACAAAGAGGAGCTGGTACCTATCCTTCTGAAACTATTCCAATCAATAGAAAAAGAGGGAATCCTCCCTAACTCATTTTATGAGGCCAACATCATCCTGATACCAAAGCCTGGCAGAGATACAATAAACAAAAGAGAATTTTAGCAACATCCCTGATGAACATTGATGCGAAAATCCTCAATAAAATACTGGCAAATCGAATCCAGCAGCAGATCAAAAAGCTTACCCACCACGATCAGGTGGGCTTCATCCCTGGGATGCAAGGCTGGTTCAATATATGCAAATCAATAAACATAATCCATCACATAAACAGAACCATTCAAATTCAGGAAATATGGAGAACACCAGAAAGATACTCCTCGAGAAGAGAAACTCCAAGACACATAATATTCAGATTCACCAAGGTTGAAATGAAGGAAAAAATGTTAAGGGCAGCCAGAGAGAAAGGTCAGCTTACCCACAAAAAGAAGCCCATCAGACTAACAACAGATGCCTCCGCAGAAATGATACAAGCCAGAAGAGAGTGGGAGCCAATATTCAACATTCTTAAAGAAAAGAATTTTCAACCCAGAATTTCATATCCAGCCAAACTAAGCTTCATAAGAGAAGGAGAAATAAAATCCTTTACAGACAAGCAAATGCTGATGGATTTTGTCACCACCAGACTTGCCTTACAAGAGCTCCTGAAGGAAGCACTAAACATGGAAAGAACAACCAGTGCCAGCCACTGCAGCAACATACCAAATTGTAAAGACCATCAACACCATGAAAAAAGTACCTCAACTAATGGGCAAAATAACCAGCTAGCATCATAATGACAGGAACAAATTTACACATGATGATATTAAACTTAAATGTAAATAGGCTAAATGATCCAAATAAAAGACACAGACTGGCAAATTGGATGAAGATTCAAGACCCATCGGTGTGCTGTATTCAGAAGACCCATCTCACGTGCAAAGACACACAAAGGCTCAAAATAAAGAAATGGAGGAAAATTTACCAAGCAAATGGAAAGCAAAACAAACAAACAAACAAACAAAAAACTGCAGGGGTTGCAATCTTGGTCTATGATAAAACAGACTTTAAACTAACAAAGATCAAAAGAGACAGAGCAGGGCATTACATAATGGTAAAGGAATCAAGGCAACAAGAAGAGCTAACTATCCTAAATATATATGAATCTAATACAGGAGCACCCAGATTCATAAAGTAAGTTCTAAAAGACCTACAAAGAGATTTAGATTCCCACACAAAAATAGTGGGAGACTTTAACATGCCACTGTCAATATTTGACAGATCAATGAGACAGAAAATGAACAAGGAGATTCAGGACTTGAACTCAGCTCTGGACCAAGCAGACCTAATACACATCTACAGAACCCTCCACCCCAAATCAACAGAATATGCATTCTTCTCTGCACCTCATCGCACTTATTCTGAAATTGACCATATACTTGGAAGTAAAATACTCCTCAGCAAATGCAGAAGAACAGAAATCATAACAAACAGCCTCTCAGACCACAGTGCAATCAAATTAGAACTCAGGACTATTGATGTTAGTCAGGGATATTGGTCTAAAATTCTCTTTTTTTTGTTGTATCTCTGCCAGGCTTTGGTATCACGATGATGCTGGCCTCATAAAATGAGTTAGGGAGGATTCCCTCTTGTTCTATTGATTGGAATAGTTTCAGAAGGAATGGTACCAGCTCCTCCCTGTACCTCTGGTAGAATTCAGCTGTGAATCCATCTGGCCCTGTACTTTTTTTGGTTGGTAGGCTATTAATTATTGCCTCAATGTCAGAGCCTGTTATTGGTCTATTCCGGGATTCAACTTCTTCCTGGTTTAGTCTTGGGAGGGTGTATGTGTCCAGGAATTTATCCATTTCTTCTAGATTTTCTAGTTTATTTGCATAGATGTGTTTATAGTATTCTCTGATGGTAGTCTGTATTTCTGTGGGATCGGTGGTGATATATCCTTTATCATTTTTTTGCATCTATTTGATTCTTCTCTCTTTTCTTCTGTATTAGTCTTGCTAGCAGTCTATCAATTTTGTTGATCTTTTCAAAAAACCAGCTCCTGGATTCATTAATTTTTTGAAGGGTTTTTTGTGTCTCTATTTCCTTCAGTTCTGCTCTGATCTTAGTTATTTCTTGCCTTCTGCTAGCTTTTGAATGTGTTTGCTCTTGCTTCTCTAGTTCTCTTAATTGTGATGTTAGGGTGTCAATTTTGGATCTTTCCTGCTTTCGCTTGTGGGCATTTAGTGCTATAAATTTCCCTCTACACACTGCTTTGAATGTGTCCCAGAGATTCTGGTATGTTGTGTCTTTGTTCTCGTTGGTTTCAAAGAACATCTTTATTTCTGCCTTCATTTCGTTATGTACCCAGTAGTCATTCAGGAGCAGGTTGTTCAGTTTCCATGTAGTTGATCAGTTTTGAGTGAGTTTCTTAATCCTGAGTTCTAGTTTGATTGCACTGTGGTCTGAGAGACAGTTTGTTATAAATTCTGTTCTTTTACATTTGCTGAGGAGTGCTTTACTTCCAACTATGTGGTCAGTTTTGGAATAGGTGTGGTGTGGTGTGGTGCTGAAAAGAATGTATATTCTGTGGATTTGGGGTGGAGAGTTCTGTAGATGTCTATTAGGTCCACTTGGTGCAGAGCTGAGTTCAATTCCTGGAGATCCTTGTTAACTTTCTGTCTCATTGATCTGTCTAATGTTGACAGTGGAGTGTTAAAGTCTCCCATTATTATTGTGTGGGTGTCTAAGTCTCTTTGTAGGTCTCTAAGGACTTGCTCTATGAATCTGGGTGCTCCTGTATTGGGTGCATATATAGTTAGGATAGTTAGCTCTTCTTGTTGAATTGATCCCTTTACCATTGTGTAATGGCCTTCTTTGTCTCTTTTGATCTTTGTTGGTTTAAAGTCTGTTTTATCAGAGACTAGGATTGCAACCCCTTCCTTTTTTTGTTTTCCATTTGCTTGGTAGAACTTCCTCCATCCCTTTATTTTGAGCCTTTGTGTGTCACTGATGGGTCTTGACTCTTTATCCAATTTTCCAGTCTGTGTCTTTTAATTGCAACATTTAGCCCATTTACATTTAATGTTAATATTGTTATGTGTGAATTTGATCCTGTCATTATGACGTTAGCTGGTTATTCTGCTCGTTAGTTGATGCAGTTTCTTCCCAGCCTCGATGGTCTCTACAGTTTGGCATGTTTTTGCAGTGACTAGTACCTTTCCATGTTGAGTGCTTCCTTCAGGAGCTCTTTTAGGGCAGGCCTGGTGGTGACAAAATCTCTCGGCATTTGCCTGTCTGTAAAGGATTTTATTTCTCCTTCACTTATGAAGCTTAGTTTGGCTGATATGAAATTCTGGGTTGAAAATTCTTTTCTTTAAGAATGTTGAATATCGGCCCCCACTCTCTTCTGGCTTGTAGAGTTTCTGCCAAGAGATCAGCTGGTAGTCTGATGGGCTTCCCTTTGTGGGTAACCCGACCTTTCTCTCTGGCTGCCCTTAACATTTTTTCCTTCATTTCAACTTTGGTGAATCTGACAATTATGTGTCTTGGAGTTGCTCTTCTCGAGGAGTATCTTCGTGGCATTCTCTGTATTTTCTGAATTTGAATGTTGGCCTGCCTTGCTAGATTGGGGAAGTTCTCCTGGAGAATATCCTGCAGAGTGTTTTCCAACTTGGTTCCATTCTCCCCATCACTTTGAGGTACACCAATCAGACATATATTTGTTCTTTTCACATAGTCCCATATTTCTTGGAGGCTTTGTTCATTTCTTTTTATTCTTTTTTCTCTAAACTTCTCTTCTCACTTCATTTCATTCATTTGATCTTCCATCACTTATACCCTTTCTTCAAGTTGATCGAATTGGCTACTGAGGCTTGTGCCTTTGTCACGTAGTTCTTGTGCTGTGGTTTTCAGCTCTGTCAGGTCCTTTAAGGACTTCTCTGCATTTGTTATTCTAGTTATCCATTTGTCTAATCTTTTTTCAATGTTTTTAACTTCTTTGCCATGGGTTCAAACTTCCTCCTTTAGCCCGGAGTAGTTTGATCATCTGAAGCCTTCTTCTCTAAACTCTTCAAAGTCATTCTCTGTCCAGCTTTGTTCTGTTGCTGGTGAGGAGCTGTGTTCCTTTGGAGGAGGCGAGGCACTCTGATTTTTAGATTTTTCAGTTTTTCTGCTGTTTTTCCCCCATCTTTGTGGTTTTATCTACCTTTGGTCTTTGATGATGGTGACATACAGATGGGGTTTTGGTGTGGATGTCCTTTCTTTTTGTTAGGGATGTGAAGGACCTCTTCAAGGAGAACTTCAAACCACTGCTCAATGAAATAAAAGAAGATACAAACAAATGGAAGAACATTCCATGCTCATGGGTAGGAAGAATCAATATTGTGAAAATGGCCATACTGCCCAAGGTAATTTAGAGATTCAATGCCATCCCCATCAAGCTACCAATGACTTTCTTCACAGAATTGGAAAAAACTACTTTAAAGTTCATATGGAACCAAAAAAGAGCCCACATTGCCAAGTCAATCCTAATCCAAAACAACAAAGCTGGAGGCATCATGCTACCAGACCTCAAAGTATACTACAAGGCTACAGTAACCAAAACAGCATGGTTCTGGTACCAAAACAGAGATATAGACCAATGGAACAGAACAGAGCCCTCAGAAATAATGCCGCATATCTACAACCATCTGATCTTTGACAAATCTGACAAAAACTACCCATGGGGAAAGGATTCCCTATTTAATACATGGTGCTGGGAAAACTGGCTAGCCATATGTAGAAAGCTGAAACTGGATCCCTTCCTTACACCTTATAATAAAATTAATTCGAGATGGATTAAAGATTTAAATGTTAGACCTAAAACCATAAAAACCCTGGAAGAAAACCTAGGCAATACCATTCAGGACATAGGCATTGGCAAGTACTTCATGTCTAAAACACCAAAAGCAATGATAATAAAAGACAAAATTGACAGTTGGGATCTAATTAAACTAAAGAGCTTCTGCACAGCAAAAGAAACTACCATCAGAGTGAACAGGCAACCTACAGAATGAGAGAAAATGTTTGCAATCTACTCATCTGACAAAGGGCTAATATCCAGAATCTACAAATAACCGAAACACATTTAGAATTAAAAAAACAACCCCATCAAAAAGTGGGTGAAGAATATGAACAGACACTTCTCAAAAGAAGACATTTATGCAGCCAACAGACACATGAAAAAATGCTCATCATCCCTAGCCATCAGAGAAATGCAAATCAAAGCCACAGTGAGATACCATCTCACACCAGTTAGAATGGCGATCATTAAAAAGTCAGGAAATAACAGGTTCTGGAGAGGATGTGGAGAAATAGGAACACTTTTACACTGTTGGTGGGACTGTAAACTGGTTCAATCATTGTGGAAGACAGTATGGCGATTCGTCAAGGATCTAGAACTAGATATACCATTTGACCCAGCCATCCAATTACTGGGTATATACCCAAAGGATTATAAATCATGCTGCTATAAAGACACATGCGCATGTATGTTTATTGAGGCACTATTCACAATAACAAAGCCTTGGAACCAACCGAAATGTCCATCAGTGATAGATTGGATTAAGAAAATGTTGCACATATTCTATGCAGCCATAAAAAAGGATGAGCTCATGACCTTTGTAGGGACACGGATGAAGCTGGAAACCATCATTCTCAGCAAACTATCACAAGGACACAAAACCAAACATCATATGTTGTCACTCATAGGTGGGAATTGAACAATGAGAACACTTGGACATGGGAAGGGGAATATCACAGTTCAAGGCCTGTCGTGGGGTGTGTGAAGGTGGGAGGGATAGCATTAGGAGATATACCTAATGTAAATGACGAGTTAATGGGTGCAGCACACCAATATGGTACATGTATACATACGTAACAAACCTGCACGTTGTGCACATGTACCCTAGAACTTAAAGTATAAAAAAAAGAAAAATAACTCCAGACTTAGAAGCTCACTCAAAACTGCACAACTACATGGAAACTGAACAACCTCCTCCTGAATGACTACTGGGTAAATAACGAAATTAAGGTAGGAATAAAGATTTTCTTTGAAACCAATGAGAACAAAGACACAACATAGCAGAATCTTTGGGACACATTTAGAGCATTGTTTAGAGGGAAATTTATAGCACTAAATGCCCACAAGAGAAAGCAGGAAAGATCCAAAATCAACATGCTAACATCACAATTAAAAGAACTGGAGAAGAAAGTGCAAACAAATTTAAATGCTAGCAGAAGACAAGAAATAACTAAGATCAGAGCAATACTGAAGGAGATAGAGACACAAAAAACCCTCAAAAAAAATCAATGAATCCAGGAGCTGGTTTTTCGAAAAGATCAACAAATTAGACCGCTAGCCAGACTAATAAAGAAGAAAAGAGAGAAGAATAAAATAGACACAATAAAAAATGATAAAGGGTATATCACAACTGGTCCCACAGAAATACAAATGACCATCAGTGAAAACTATAAACACCTCTACCTAAATAATCTAGAAAATCTAGAAGAAATGAATAAATTCCTGGACAGATACACCTTCCCAAGTCTAACCCAGGAAGAAGTCTAATCCCTGAATATAGCAATAGCAAATTATGAAATTGAGGCAGTAATTAATAGCCTACCAACAAAAAAAAGTCCAGGACCAGACAGATTCACAGCCAAAATCTACCAGAGGTACAAGGAGGAGCTTGTACCATTCCGTTTGAAACTATTCCAAACAATAGAAAAAGAGGAATTCCTCCCTAATTCATTATATGATGCCAGCATCATCCTGGTACCACAACCTGGCAGAGACACAACAAAAACAGAAAATTTCAGGCCAATACCCCTGATGAACATCAAGGTGAAAATCCTCAATAAAATACTAGCAAACCAAATCCAGCAGCACATCAAAAAGCTTGTCTGTCACGATCAAGTTGGCTTCATCCCTGGGATGCAAGGCTGGTTCAACATATGCAAATCAATAAATGTAACTCATCAGATAAACAGAACCAATGACAAAAACCACATGATTATCTCAACAGATGCAGGGAAGGCCTTTGATAAAATTCAACAGCCCTTCATGCTAAAAACTCTCAATAAACTAGGTATTGATGGAATGTATGTCAATATAATAAGAGCTATTTATGACAAACCCACAACCAATATCATACTGAATGGGCAAATGCTGGAAGCATTCCCTTTGAAAACCAGCACAAGACAAGGATGGCCTCTCTCACCACTCCTATTCAACATAGTATTGGAAGTTCTGGCCAGGGCAATCAGGCAAGAGAAAGAAATAAAGGGTATTCAAATAGGAACAGAGGAAGTCAAATTGTCTCCGTCTGCAGATGACATGTTTGTACATTTAGAAAACCCCATTATCTCAGCCCAAAATCTCCTTAAGCTGATAAGCAACTTCAGCAAAGTCTCAGGATACAAAATCACTGTGCAACAATCACTAGCATTCCTATACACCAATAACAGACAGAGAACCAAATAATGAGTGAACTCCTATTCACAATTGCTACAAAGAGAATAAAATACCTAGGAATAAAACTTACAAGGGGTGTGAAGGACCTCTTCAAGGCGAACTAGAAACCACTGCTCAAGGAAATAAGAGAGAACACGAACAAATGGAAAAACATTCCATGCTTATGGATAGGAAGAACCAATATCGTGAAAATGGCCATACTGCCCAAATGAATTTATAGATTCAATGCTATTCCCATCAAGCTACCACTGACTTTCTTCACAGAACTGGAAAATCTACTTTACATTTCATATGGAACCAAAAAAGAGCCCACATTGCCAAGAAAATCCTAAGCAAAAAGAACAATACTGGAGACATCATGCTACCTGACTTCAAACTCTACTACCAGGCTACAGTAGCCAAAACAGCATGGTACTGGTACCAAAACAGATATACAGTCCAATGGAACAGAACAGAGGCCTCAGAAATAACACCATACATCTACAACCATCTGATTTTTGACAAATCTGACAAAAACAAGCAATGGGAAAATGATTTCCTATTTAATAAATGGTGTTGGGAAAACAGGCTAGCCATATGCAGAAAACTGAAACTGGACCCCTTTCTAACACTTTATACAAAAAGTAACTCAAGATGGATTAAAGACTTAAACACAAGACCTAAAATCATAAAAACCCTAAAAGAAAACCTAGGCAATACCATTCAGGACATAGGCATGGTCAAAGACTTCATGACTAAAACAGCAAAAGCAATGGCAGCAAAAGCCAAAATGGACAAATGAGATCTAATTATACAACAGAGCTTCTGCACAGCAAAAGAAACTATCATAAGGGTGAAAAGGCAACCTACAGAATGGGAGAAAATTTTTGCAATCTACCCATCTGACAAAGGGCTAATATCCAGAATCTATAAAAACGTAAATAAATTTACAAGAAAAAAACAAACAGCCCCATCAAAAAGTGGGTGAAGGATATGAACAGACACTTCTCCAAAGAAAACATTTATGCAGCCAACGAACATATGAAAAAAAGCTCATCATCACTGGTCATTAGAGAAATTCAAATTGAAACCACAATAACATACCATCGCACGCCAATTAGAATGGTGATCATTAAAAAGTCAGGAAACAACGGATGCTGGAGAGGATGTGGAGAAATAGCAACGCTTTTACACTGTTGGTCGGAGTGTAAATTAGTTCAACCATTGTGGAAGATAGTGTGGGGATTCCTTAAGGATCTAGAACCAGAAATACCATTTGACCCAGCAATTCCATTACTGGGTATATACCCAAAGGATTATAAATCATTCTACTATAAAGACACAGGCACACATGTGTTTATTGTATCACTATTCACAATAGCAAAGACTTGGAACCAACCCAAGTGCCCATCAATTTTAGACTGGATAAAGAAAATGTGGCACATAGATACCATGGATTACCATGCAGCTATAAAAACAGGATGAGTTCATGTCTTTTGCAGGGACATGGATGAAGCTGGGAACCATCATTCTCAGCAAACTAACACAAGAACAGAAAACCAAACACCTCATATTCTCACTCATAAGTGTGAGTTGAACAATGAGAACACATAGATACACGGAGGGGAACATCACATGCTGTGGTCTTTCAGGGTTGGGATGCTAGGGGAGGGATAGCATTAGGAAAACTACGTAATGTAGGCGATGGGTTGATGGGTGCAGAAAACCTCCATGGCACATGTATACCTATGTAACAAATCTGGACGTTTTGCACAAATACCCCAGAACTTAAAGTATAATAAGGAAAAAATAAACACTTTATGTGAAAAAAAAATCCTTAGGAATATATCTAAACAAGAAGGTGAAAGACCTCTACAAGGAAAATTCAAAACACTTCTGAAAGTAATCATAGACGACACAAACAAATGGAAACATAACCCATGTCATGGACGAGTAGAATCAATATTGTGAACAGGATCATAATGCCAAAAGCAATCTACACATTCAATGCAATTCTCATCAAAATACTAATATCATTCTTCACAGAATTAGAAAAAACAATTCTAAAATTCATATTGAAGCAAAATAGCCCATATAGCCAAAAAGAATAAATCTGGAGGCATCATATTACCTGGTTTCAAACTATGCTATAAGGCAATAGTTACGAATACAGCATGGTACTGGTATTAAAATATACCCACAGACCAATGGAACAAAACACAAAATCAGAAATAAATCCAAATACAGCCAACTGATCTTCGACAAAGCAAACAAAAATATAAAGTGGGGAGAGGACACCCTTTTCAACTAATGGTGCTGGAATAATTGGCTAACCACATGTAGGAGAATGAAACTGGATCCTCATCTCTCACCTCATACAAAAATCAACTCAAGATGGATTAAGGACTGAAATCTAAGACCTGAAACTATAAAAATTCTAGAAGATAACTTTGGAAAAACCCTTATAGACATTGGCTTAGCCAAAGATTTCATGACCAGGAACACAAAAGCAAATGCAATAAAAACAAAGATAAATAGCTGGGACTTAATTAAACTAAAGAGCTTTTGCACAGCAAAAGGAACAGTCAGCAGAGTAAACAGACAACCCATACAGTGGGAGAAAATCTTCACAATCTATACATCTGACAAAGGACTAATATCCAGGATGTACGAGGAACTCAAATCAGAAAGACAAAAACAAACAATCCCATCAAAAAGTGGGCTAAGGACATGAATAGACAATTCTCAAAAGAAGATATACAAATGGCCAAGAAATGTATTAAAAAATGCTCAACATCACTAATTATCAGAGAGATGCAAATTAAAACCACAATTTAATACCACCTTACTCTTGCAAGAATGGCCATAATCAAAGAAATTAAAAAATAGTAGATGTTGGCATGGATGTGGCAAACAGGGAACACTGCTACACTGCTGGTAGGAATGTCAACTAATGGAAACAGTGTGGAGATTCCTTAAAGAACTAAAAGTAGAACTACCATTTCATCCAGCAATCCCATTACTGGGTATCTACCCAGAGGAAAAGAAGTCATTATACAGAAAAGATAGTTGCACACGCATGTTTATAGCAGCATAATTCGCAATTGCAAAAACGTGGAACCAACCCAAATGTCCATCAATCAATGAGTGGATAAAGAAGCTGTGAGATATATATATATATACACATATATATGTGTATATATATGTGTATATATACATATATATGTATATATATATATACACATATATATATGTGTATATATATATATGTATATATATATGGAATACTACTCAGCCATAAAAAGGAATGAATTAATGGCTTTTGCAGCGACCTGGATGAGATTGGAGACTAATATTCTAAGTGAAGTAACTCAGGAATGGAAAACCAAACATTGTATGTTCTCACTCATAAGTGGGAGCTTAGCTATGATGGATACAAAGGCATATGAATGATACAATGAACTTTGGGGTCTTGGAGGAAAAGGGTGGGAAGGGCTTGAGAGATAAAAGACTACAAATAGGGTACAGTGTATACTGCTCGAGTGATGGATGCACCAAAATCTCTCAAATCACCACTAAAGAACTTACTCATCTAACCAAACAGCACCTGTTCCCCAATAACCTATGGAAATAAAAAAAAAATTATAAAAAAATCTGTATAGGCATGTTAAAAAAAGGAAGGACAGAAATACCATTCAACTCAGCAATCCCATTACTGGGTATATACCCAAAGGAACATAAATTATTGTTTTATTAAAGACACATGCACACATATGTTAACTCCAGCACTATTTACAATAACAAAGACATGGAATCAACCTAACTACCCATTAATGATAGAATGGATAAAGAAAATGTGGTACATATACACCATGGAATACTATGCAACCATAAAAAATAATGAGATCATGTCCTTTGCAGGGACATGGATGGAGCTGGAGCCTATTATCCTTAGCAAACTAACACAAGAACAGAAAACCAAATGCTGCATGTTCTCACTTATAAGTGGGAGCTAAATGATGAGAACACATGGACACATAGTGGGGAACAACACACACTGGAGCCTACTGCAGAGTGCATGGTGTGAGAAGGGAGAGGATCAGGAAAGACAACTAGTGGGTACTAGGCTTAATACCTGGGCGATGAAATAATCTTTACAACAAGCCCCCATGACAGAAGTTAACCTATGTAACAAACCTGCACATATATCCCTGAACTTAAAAGTTAAAAAAAAAAAAAGATTCTTGTATCCCATCTCGGATCTACAGAATCACAATCTCAAAAATGAGCCGTAAGAACCTGCATTTTAACAAGCTCTACAATTATTGTGGTACATACTGATGTTTGAAAAGTACTGCCCTAGACACTCTTACCTCAGGCCGTTATAGTGAGTCCATACACTTAAAAATAAGCGTCTTTCCAAGTACTTTAAAGATTCAAAATGATAGTGGATCTGAAATGCCGCCTGAGTCCCCATGACAACGTGTACACTGTGGGGCCCAACCAATAAAGATAAGAAAAGCTTTGGCGGTCAAGCATACTTGGGAAGCTGCAGTTTCTAGAACAGTCTAGTAGAGGACAGCCTCTTCAGCAGCCTGCTAGGCATTTTTTTACTTCTTCCTTCTGTTATGCAGACAAGCTAACTGAAGATGCGGTTACTGAGATATAATTTCTCTGCTAGGTCACAAAGTCTGAAAACATGGGCCTTACGTGTGTAACTGTGTATCATCACCTGCCACCCCCAGTTTTTCCTGGCTCTACTAATCACCCAAAGTTCTGAATGCAGAAGCCCCAGGGGCCCCCGGAAGATCCTTCAAGCTGGCATCCTTGGCCTCGCTGCGGGGGCTTAGCTACCTGTGGGAACCCACGTAGCAAGGGTGACTCAAAGGGTTAACAAGCAGTGGCGCCGCAGAGTGGCGGGGAGTGCAGCCAATAGGGTGTCTAGGCAGGCAGTACGTCTGGTGTGGGCGGGAGTGAGCCAAAGTGTGCTAAAGGAAACCAACAGCGGCCTAGGGGTGAAAGGACAGCCAGGGTTAGATGTTCTGAGGAGGCGGGAGCAACCGAGAGAGCACGTGAGCATCTGTCCTTTCTACCCGTTCCTCTTTATCTTTAGTGTTCAGTAGCAGCGGGGATAGCCCGGGGCCCGGTGTATGGCCACGGAGTTACAGTGTCCGGACTCCATGCCCTGTCACAACCAGCAAGTAAACTCTGCCTCAACCCCAAGTCCCGAGCAGCTGCGACCTGGCGATCTGATCCTGGACCACGCAGGGGGAAACAGAGCCTCCAGGGCCAAGGTGATTCTCCTCACGGGGTACGCCCATTCTAGCCTGCCGGCCGAGCTGGACTCTGGGGCCTGCGGCGGCTCCAGCCTCAACTCAGAGGGCAACAGTGGTAGTGGTGACAGTAGCAGCTATGACGCACCAGCTGGCAACTCCTTCCTAGAGGACTGCGAACTCTCCCGGCAGATCGGGGCGCAGCTTAAGCTGCTGCCTATGAATGATCAGATACGGGAGCTACAGACCATCATCCGTGACAAGTAAGCCAAGAGCGGAAGGGGAAAGGGAAGTGGAGGGTCTTGCAGGCTGTGGGCGGGGATTGGAAGTAAAAGGGCTAAGAGACAGTGTTCTTGGCCTTGGCAAACTTTGGAGATTGGGGTAAGACCTTTTATTTGGTGTGTGTGTGTGTGTGTGTGTGTGTGTGTGTGTGTGTGTGTCGTGTAACTCGAACGCCAACCTTCTCTTTCCAAGTTCCGGTGTCTAACATCACTTTGGGTGGGGAGGAAGACTTTAGGTAGCCTCTGGGCTCTTTGTCTCTCCCAGGAAAGACAACTCCTTGGCCATTCCAGGCAGGTAAACTCCCCTATACTATGTGGGCAGTGCTTGTCCACATGGTAAACCTATAACCCAGAAATGGTTACTATCCAAGGTTATGCACTACCACCAATCACCTCAGGTTCATAAATAGAAATAAAGCAATTTCAAGGAAATTCTATTCAGGCCCTGACCCTTTAGTATTTGCTACTGCAAACAAGGTCTTTTAGTCTTGGAGTTCAGGTTTACTTGATCACATGAAAGCTTATCGTCCAACTCTTATCATTTTTCACTGTAAACTCACAGAACATAGTTAATGGATCAAAGGGAGCCTAAAGGAGCCTTTGGCCCTTCCTAATCCCACAAACCAATGTAGCCAGAACTTCATGTTAAAATGTAATTTTGAAATTTCTAAACCTACGTTGTAAATGGGTTTTCTCCAGGGAAATATGTACCATGATGAACTACAGCTATTTTCTTTATTGGCAGCACTTTAAATGAGCAGCATATCAAAACACCCCTTTTTTAGTGGCAGGGGTTGGGGGGACATGCCTTGATCTTTTAAAAATGGCTACTGAATGACAGATGCCACTCCCTAAACCAGACTCTAGAAACCTTGTCTTACACTATTGTAATAATACTGTTTCTCTGCTTGCAGTTTTTCCTCTCTTCCACATGCACCCATACATTACTGTACAATCAATCTTCATAACATACATCTTTGATTCAGTAATTGCCCTACTCAGCAACCTTCTTTGGCTTCTCAGAGCCTACCAAATAAAGTCCAGGATCCTTAGCTTGATTGATATTTTTGAGACAGGATCTTTCTCTGTCACCCAGGCTGGAGTGCAGTGGTGAGATCACAGCTTACTGTACCCTCATACTTCTGGGCTCAAGTAATCCTCCTGCCTTAGCCTCCTGAGTAGCTGGGACTACAGGGACATGGCACTGCCCCCCGGCTAATTTTTTATTTTTTTGTAGAGATGGAGGTCTTGCTATATTGTCCACGATGGTCTTGAACTCCTGGCCTCAAGCAATCCTCGTGCCTCGGCCTCCTAAAATGTTGGGATTACAGGTGTGAGCCACCATGCCTGGCCCCCTTAGCTTGGGATGAAGGCCCTTCTTCATAGTTCCTAGGAACAATTCTGAAACATATCTGTTTCTGCTCTCATCTGGAATTCCCTGTGTCTCCTTTATGTACGTTCAGGATACTTATTCTTCAGGGTGAAACACAGCATTAAATAATTGTCCACCTCTGCCAAGAAGCTTCCCTTTAATCATTATTCCTGGCTTATCTTCCCTGGTCTTTTTAATGCAAGATTCACCTTCTTTTTCGTATATTGTTATTTTTGTATAGATCTTATCCTGCCTATGACATCTTGAAGGCAGAAATCTTTTACATTTTTGAATGCCGGCCATGCCTTGCAAATAATAGATGCTCAATTACTAGAGTTTTTTTGTAGCTCTTAAAATTATATTTATGAAACTATACTATTTTACTCTTTTTAATGAATCAATATTGAAAACTACTGTGGTTATGTTATCTAATAGACAAAATAGTGATCCTAAAAAATAGGAGGCATAGGTTTGCTGTAGTTGTGGTAGGGTAGGGGCAGCCAAAATAAATCTTACATATACAACAAAGAAAAATAGATGATGATTCTTGTTTCTATAGAGCAGAAGTTACTACGCTTGGGTCTTCGACTCCCTCGTACCAGTAGATGGGTTCAGGGCTTTAACAAACCCTCATAAATTAACTGGGAAATTTTACTCATATGAAGATTTTTAATAGTTGTTTTTAAATAACATCTTTATTGAGATATAATTCACAGACCATACAGTTCAAGAATTTAAAGTGTATAATTCAGTGGTTTTAAGTATGTTCACAGCTGTGCATTCATCACCACAGTTTTAGAACATTTGTCATCACCCCAGCAAGAAACCTCATGCCCATTAAACAGTCACTCCCCATTTTCACCCAACCCACCCAAAGCCCTAGACAATCATTAATCTACTTTCTATTTCTAATGGTTTGCCCATTCTGCACATTACATATAAAAAATGTCTATTCTGGACATTTCATTATCATACAATATGTGGTCATTTTGTGACTCATTTCATTTAGCATGTTTTCAAGGTTCATCCGTGTGGGATCTTTCCTTTTTATGATTAAATGATACTCCATTATATGAATATACCACAATTTGTTTATCCATCAGTTGGTGAACATTTGGGTGGTTTACCACTCTTTGGCTATTATGAATAATGCTGCTATGAACATTCACATATGTGCCTTTTTTTTTAGAGGGTGAGGATTCCTTAGTTTTTTAGATTTCACAAAGTGTCATGATAATGTAAAGGTGAAGTGCCCTTGCTATAGCGCTTGGAGAGGGAATGGCATTTAGCATTCACATATGACAAAATAATACCTGATTATATGTCATTAGTCAGAAAAACCTGGGTTATGTAGTAAACCTGGGTGTAAGTGGAATCCTTTTTTTTTTTTCCTCTAAGTTTGGAAGGAGACAGCAGGATCCAGAGAAGTGATTTAGGCAATATGTTTAGCATCTCTGTGCTTCACCTTTATCATTTGTAAAATGAAGATGTTGGTAAATATCACATGGAGCCCCTGGGAGGCTAAAACAAGATACTGTTCATGAATATTCATTATGAACTGTGAAGAGCTGTTCACATTTAAGGAATTTCAAGCCTCATGTTTGGATTTGTGCATGCTTCTAATTGCATTCATAAGTGCTGTCTTCTTGATTTGTCAGAAGACAGTAAAATGAATTTAACTCTATGTGGAATTCACTTTTTTATCTTGAAAATGAATACTGGGATATTGTAGATAATTTTTATCTTGTTTTGATATAGTATGGAAAGACCCACCACAATTTTTAGTAATGTATTGCTGCTTATTTAGGCTGGGGACATTGTTTTTAGTTTTGTTTTTGTTAACCAAATTAGAGGCTTTATATTCCCTTTATCTTTAAAAAATTGTCATCCTCTCTCACAAGACCTGTTTTAGCCCCTCTAGGAGGCTGGTTTAAGGTGCCTATGGTAAGAGGAGCTATATTTACATAGGTCTAGTTATGGAAGGTGCCATCAGTTATCATACCCTGTTCTCTTTGGGGCTTATTCTCTTCTCTATTTTGATGTGACAGCATAAATGTGCACTGTGGAACTGTCCGATAATAGAAGCCACTGGAGTACATATTTTTTCTTTTATTGTTTCTGGTCCTTAGCATCTATATAGTGAAGGGATTGCTTTGTGAATTGACTTTGGTATGGGGAAATCGGGATTGAGCCAGCAGGACTGCATGTTGTTGTATATATGTGAAACAGGCAAGATTGAGAACATTGTCTGTATTGATTTAAAATGTCTTTTTAGATTTTGAAATGTGCAATATTTGAAACATAATATGTTGGTTGTATTATTGAATTTCAAGGAAATAAATTTCTCTCTTTGAAAGTGCAGTAAACACTGAGTAGATTATTTGCTCAGCCATACGTATGTGGGTTGCTGGTGAACTTGGGATAAGAAAAAATTTCTTCATTTATGTCGTTTTGTTGTTGTTGCAATGGATTAAACCACACATCCTTCTCTTCTGCCTCCTTTATATACTAAACTCAGCAAAATCTGAGTAATGTGCTTTTCCTGTGAATATAGTTCATGACCTCATATTTAAAGGCAATGCAGTGTATTTAAAAGATCATCCTCCCTGTCCAGTTTTTTGTTTTTTATTTTTTGTTTCCTGAAACATTAAAGCTGTTGTGTGAGCTGTTGAATGCTTCCTGTGTATTTGTCCTAGGTGGGGCTTTGGCATGGCCTCAGCAAGCTGCTTGTTTAAAAGTTTAGCAATGTTAGAGTATGTCAGTATGTGACATAGGACAAAAAAAGGAGCACATTCAGCCTTGTGACTCTCTTTAGTCACCTGGAGGGGAGAAAATTATCCTTAGGGTGAATGAACATCCTGTGTAACCCTAATGTGAGTGCAATCTAATGTGATTTGAGTTATGTGACTAAGTAATGTATTGTCCTTAACCAAAGCTGTGTGCATCAGAATTGCCTGTGGAGTCTCTCTCTCTTTTTTTAAAATACAAGTTCCTGACTCCCATCCTTAGCAGTTGTTTGTATAGTCTTGAGTAAAACCTGACCACAGGTAATTGTGCTGTGTTTAGACTGGGCCATTGCCCCTGGGAGAATGGCCAGTCTCCCTTGTGTGCTGATTTGCTAGCCTGCTGATTCGGGCTATAGATATGGTGATCCAGGGATTCCACACACTAAACAGAACTAGGCTAGAGAGCCTGACCTAGCATTACATCAACACTGGAGGAATCTCCCAACATTTCCTTCCAGCTTGCACAAAACCAAAATGCCCACCGCAGAAAAAAACTGTGACGTGCAAATTGTTTAAAACATGGACATATTTTCGGTTTTTGTGTGTTTCCCGTGTGAGTCCTCTGACTTTTAGAGCAGGAAGGAGGAAGTCACCACTAAGCTATACGGACCTCTGTTATAACATTTACTGGGCATATCCTGGTATACCTAACTAGACTGGACTCCAAGGAGGCAGAAAGGGGGTCTGACCTGGCACAGTCCCTGACACAAAGGATAATTAATGTAGCAATTGTAATCAGATAAAATGATAGTTTCCCTTGTTTTTCTGTCCCATTTTTTTGCAATAATTTCAACATTTGTTTTATTTTTTTAAAGCTTTCAGGTTTCACTTATTTATTTTTTTCCATAAGTTATTGGGGTACAGGTGGTATTTGATTACATGAGTAAGTTCTTTAGTGGTGATTTATGAGATTTTGGTGCACCCATCACCCAAGCAGTATACACTGCATCATATTTGTAGTCTTTTATCCCTTGACCCCCTCCCACCCTTTCCTCCCAAGTTGCTAAAGTCCATTATATTATTCTTATATCTTTGCATCCTCATAGCTTAGCTGCCACATACTAGTGAGAACATATGATGTTTAGTTTTCCATTCATGAGTTACATCACTTAGAATAGTAATCTCTAATCTCATCCAGGTCACTGCAAATGCTGTTAATTCATTTTTTTAATGGCTGACTAGTATTCCATCATATATATATATTTGATATGTATTCCATCATATATATATATTTGTTGGCCATTTGTATATCTTCTTTTGAGAATTGTCTATTCATGTCCTTAGCCCACTTTTTGATGGGATTGTTTGTTTTTTTTTTTCTTGCTGATTTGTTTGAGTTCCTCGTAGATTCTGGATATTAGTCCTTTGTCAGATGTATAGATTGTGAAGATTTTCTCCCACTATATGGGTTGTCTGTTTACTCTGCTGACTGTTTCTTTTGCTGTGCAAAAGCTCTTTAGTTTAATTAAGTCCCAGCTATTTATCTTTGTTTTTATTGCATTTGCTTTTGTGTTCCTGGTCATGAAATCTTTGGCTAAGCCAATGTATGTAAGCCAAAGTTATCTTCTAGAATTTTTATAGTTTCAGGTCTTAGATTTCAGCCCTTAATCCATCTTGAGTTGATTTTTGTATAAGGTGAGAGATGAGGATCCAGTTTCATTCTCCTACATGTGGTTAGCCAATTATCCCAGCAACATTAGTTGAAAAGGGTGTCCTTTCCCCACTTCATATTTTTGTTTGCTTTGTCGAAGATCAGTTGGCTATAAGTATTTGGGTTTATTTCTGAGTTCTCTGTTCTGTTCCATTGGTCTTTGTGCCTATTTTTGTACCAGTGCCATGCTGTTTTGATGACTGTGGCCTTATAGTATAGTTTGAAATCAGGTAGTGTGACACTTCCAGGTTTGTTCTTTCTGCTTAGTCTTGCTTTGGCTGTGTGGGGTCTTTTGTGGTTCCATATGAATTTTAGAATTGTTTTTTCTAATTCTGTGAAGAATGATGGTGGTATTTTGATGGGAATTGCATTGAATTTGTAGATTGCTTTTGGCAGTATGATCATTTTCACAATATTGACTCTACCCATCCATGAGCATGGGATGTGTTTCCATTCATTTGTGTCATCTATTATTTCTTTCAGCAGTGTTTTGAAGTTTTACTTGTAGAGGTCTTTCAACTCCTTAGGTAAATTCCTAAGGATTTTATTTTTTTTGGCAGCTATTGTAGAGGGTTGAGTTCTTGATTTGATTCTCAGCTTGGGTACTGTTTGTGTATAGAAGAGCTACTGATTTGTGTACATTAATCTTGTATCCAGAAACTGCTGAATTCTTTTATCAGTTCTAGGAGCTTTCTGGAGGAGCCTTTAGGGTTTTCAAGGTAAAAGATCATATCCTCAGCAAACAGTGACAGTCTGACTTCCACTTTATCAATTTGGATGCCCCTTATTTCTTTCTCTTGTCTGATTGCTCTGGCTAGGACCTCCAGTACTATGTTGAAGAGGAATGGTGAGGGTGGCATCCTTGTCTTGTTCCAGTTCTTAGAGTGAATGCTTTGAACTTTTCCCCATTTAGTATTATGTTGTCTGTGGGTTTGTCATAGATGGCTTTTATTACATTAAGTTGTGTCCTTTCTATGCTGATTTTGCTGAGAGTTTTAATCATGGAGGTATGCTGCATTTTGTTGAATGCTTTTTCTGCATCTATTGAGATGATCCTGTGATGTTTGTTTTTAATTCTGTTTATGTGGTGTGTCACATTTATTGACTTGCATACATTAAACCATCCCTGCATCCCTGATATGAAACCCACTTGATCATGGTGGATTATCTTTTTGATGTGCTGTTGGAATTGGTTAGCTAGTATTTTGTTAAGGATTTTAGCATCTATGTTCATCAAGGATATCAGTCTGTAGTTTTCTTTTTTGGTCATATCCTTCCCTGGTTTTGCTATCAGGGTGATGCTGGCTTCATAGAATGAATTAGGGAGCATTCCCTCTTTCTCTGTCTTGTGGAATAGTGTCAAAAGGAATGTTTTCAATTCTTCTTTGAATGTCTCATAGAAGTCTTCTGTGAATCTATCTGATCCTGGACTTTTTTTTTGTTGGTAATTTTTAAATTACCATTTCAGTCTTGCTGGTTGTTATTGGTCTGTTCAGGGTATCAAATTTTTCCTGATTTAAGCAAGGAGGGTTGTATTTTTTTCAGGAATTTATCCATCTCTTCTGGGTTTTCTAGTTTATGTGTGTAAGGGTGTTCATAGTAGCCTTGAATGATCTTTTGTATTTCTCTGGTGTCAGTTGTAATATCTCCTGTTTCATTTCTTAGTGAGGTCATTTGGATTTTCTCTCTTCTTGGTTAATCTTGCTAATAGTCTATTAATTTAATTTATCTTTTCAAAGAACCAGCTTTTTGTTTCATTTATCTTATATTTTTTTTTTTGCTTCAATTTCACTTAGTTCTGCTCTGATCTTGGTTATTTCCTTTCTTCTGCTGGATTTGGGTTTGGTTTGTTCTTGTTTCTCTAGTTCCTTGAGGTGTGACCTTAGAATGTCAGTTTGTGTTCTTTCAGTCTTTTTGATGTAGGTGTTTAGGGCTGTGAACTTCCCTCTTAGCACTGCCTTTGCTGTATGCCAGAGGTTTTGGGAGGTTGTGTCATTATTTGGGAGGTATGTGTCATTCAGTTTGAAGAATTTTTAAATTTCCATCTTGATTTTGTTTTTGACCCAGTGATCATTCAGGAACAGGTTATTTAATTTCATGTATTTGCATGATTTTGAAGGTTACTTTTGGAGTTGATTTCCAGTTTTATTCCACTGCGGTCTGAGAGAGTGCTTGATATAATTTCAGTTTTCTTAAATTTATTCAGGCTTGTTTTATGGCCTATCATATGGTATGTCTTGGAGAAAGTTCCATGCACTGTTGAATAGAATATGTATTCTGCAGTTGTTGGACGAAATGTTCTGTATGTATCTGTTAAGTCAATTTGTTCCGAGGTATAGTTTAAATCCATTGTTTCTTTGTTGACCTTCTGTCTTGATGACCTGTCTAGTGCTGTCAGTGGAGTACTGAAGTCCCCCACTGTTATTGTGTTGTTGTCTAACTCATTTCTTAGGTCTGTTAGTAATTGTTTTATAAATTTGGGAGGTCCTATGTTAGGTGCATATATGTTTAAGATTGTGATAGTTTTCCATTGGACAAGGCTTTTCACCATTATATAATGTCCCTCTTTGTCTTTGTTAACTGCTGTTGCTTTCAAGTTTGTTTCTTCTGATATAACAACAGCTACTCCAGCTCGGTTTTGGTGTCCATTTGCATGAAGTGTCTCTTTCCACTTCTTTACCTTACGTTTGTGTGAGTCCTCATGTGTTAGGTGAGTCTCCTGAAGGCAGCAGATAATTGGTTGGTGAGTTCTTATCCATTCTGCGGTTTTGTATCTTTTAAGTGGAGCATTTAGGCCATTTACATTCAATGTTAGTATTGAAATGTGAGGTTCTGTTGCATTGATTGTGCTCTTTGTTGTCTATGTACTGTTTTTTTTTGTTTTTAGTTTTGGCCTTTTACCTGTATTTTTGTTATATAGGTCCTGCATGATTTATGCTTTAAAGAGTTTCTGTTTTGATGTGTTTCCAGGATTTGTTTCAAGAATTAGAGCTCCTTTTAGTGGTTTTTGTAGTGGTGGCTTGATAATGGTGAATTCTCTTAGCCTTTGTCTGAAAAAGGCTATATTTTTCCTTCATGTATGATGCTTAGTTTTGCTGCACACAAAATTCTTGGCTGATTTTTTGTTTGTTTGTTTGTTTGTTTGAGGAGGCTGAAGATAGATAGCTCATAGCTTGTAGGGTTTCTGCTGACAAATCTGCTGTTAATCTGATAGGTTTTCATAGGTTATCTGGTGTTTTTGTCTCACAGCTCTTAAGATTCTTTCCTTCATCTTAACTTTGGATAGCCCGACGAAAATGTGCCTAGGCTATGACCTTTTTGTGATGAATTTTCCAGGCATTCTTTGTGCTTCTCATATTTGGATGTCTATGTCTCTATCAAGGCTGGGGAAATTTTCCTCAATTATTCCCCCAAATGTGTTTTCCAAGCTTTTAGAATTCTCTTCTTCCTCAGGAACACGGATTATTCCTAGGTTTAGTTGTTTAACATAATCCTAGAATTCTTGGAGGCTTTGTTCATATTTTCTTATTCTTTTTTCTTTGTCTTTGTTGGATTGGGTTAATTCAAATACCTTGTCTTCAAGCTGTCAATTTCTGTCTTCTACTTGTTCAATTCGGTTGCTGAGACTGTCCAGAACATTTCCCATATCTAAAAGTATGTCCAAAGTTTCCTAAATTTTTGATTGTTTTTTCTTTGAGCTATCTGTTTCCTTGAATATTTCTCCATTCAGTTCTTGTATCGTTTTTGGATTTCCTTGCATTGGGCTTTGCCTTTCTCTGGTGCCTCCCTGATTAGCTTAATAACTAACCTCCTGAATTCCTCTTCAGGTAAATCAGGGATTTCTTCTTGGTTTGGATCCATTGCTGGTGAACTAGTGTGATTTTTGGGGGCTGTTAAAGAGCCTTGTTATGTAATATTACCAGGGTTTGTTTTCTGTTTCATTCTCATTTGGGTATGCTCTGTCAGAGGGAAGATCTAGGGCCAAAGGCTGTTGTTCAGATTCTTTTGTCCCACGGGGTGTTTCCTTGATGTAGTACTCTCCTCCGTTTCCTATGGATGTGGCTTCCTGTGAGCTGAACTGCTGTGATTGTTGTCTCTCTTCTGGATCCAGCTACCCAGAGAGTCTGTTCAGCTCTGGGCTGGTACTGGGTGTTGTCTGCATGGAGTTCTGTGATGTGAACCGCCTATGGGTCTGTCAGCCATGGATACCAGTGCCTGTTCCAGTGGAGGTGGCAGGGGGGGGTGCAGTGGACTCCATTATGGTTTTTAGCTTTGGTGGTTTAATGTTCTATTTTTTTGCTGGTTGGCCTCCTGCCAGGAGGTGGCACTTTCCAGAGAGCATCACCTGTAGTAGTATGGAGAGGGACTGGTGGTGGGTGGGGCCCTAGAAATCCTAAGATTATATGCCCTTTGTCTTCTGCTACCAGGGTGAGTAGGGAAGGAACATTAGGTGGGGGCAGGGCTAGGTGTGTCTGAGCTCAGGCTGTCCTTGGGCCGGTCTTGCTGTGGCTGCCGTAGGGGATGGGGTCGAGATGCCCAGGTCACTGGAGTTGTGTACCTAGGAGGATTATGGCTGCCTCTGCTGAGTTCTGCAGGTTGTCAGGGAAGTGGGGGAAAGCCAGGAGTCACAGGCCTCACCCAGCTCCCATGTAAACCGAAGTGCTGGTCTCACTCCCACCATGCCCCCTCCAACAGCCCCAAGTCTGTTTCCAGGCAGTGGGCACGACTGGCTTGAAAAATTGCCCAGACTACCTGCCTCCAAGTTGAGAAAGAAAAACTTCTTTCCCTGCCTGTGGAGTCTGCACACTGGATTTGTGCCCTCCCCCTAGTTCTGGCCAGGAGGCTTCTTGCCCCATTGAAATTGTTAAAAAGGTCAGCTAGAGATTTCCTTCTCCCTGTGGAGATTTACCCCCTGCTCCTCTGGCCTCCCTCCTGATGGATCCCTGTTTTGTCAGGCAGGAATGGGCTGCTTGGGGACCCAGCAAGCTTCCAGGGCCTTTCTGCTGCTTTCTCTACCCCTGTATTTCACTCGGCTCTCTAAATTGACTCAGCTCCAGGTAAGGTCATACATTTCTCCCACAAACAGACCTTCAGATTCTTCAGTGGGGGTGTGTGTTTGGGAGGGGAGGGTCTCCCTTTCTCACTTCCACAGTTGGGGCACTCACAGTATTTGGGGTATCTCCCAGGTCCTGCAGGAGCAATCTGCTTCCTTAAGAGGGTCTGTGGGTCCTCTCCTCTGTCCTATTTTGAATGTTCACATTGAATGCAGCTTTGAGGTGCAGGTAAATAGTTATTGACACTCTGTGAGTTTATTAAGAAGGCGCTAAAGTGCTGTGGCCTTGATGCCTTGCACCTGGCAAAAAAAAAAAATAGTAACATAATATTATTTTTTTTAAACTTTTTGCTTTTGGTTAAATTTGCTCCAAATTCTTCACTGGGGGTTTGTTTTTGTGAAGGTAAAGGAAGGAGAAGGAAAACCATTCATAAATCATCTGTATACTACGACAAACTTTGGGACTATATTTTAGTGATCACATAATAATAAAGTAGTTATGGATGTAAAGCTCATGTTTTCACTAAACATTAAATGAAACATTCCTTTGGTTAAAACCTGCCGGAAAAGCTTTTTTTGTTGTACTTTCCTTTAACTTGTTGCTCAAAACCAAAAAAAGCACATTAGAGCTGAGTTTGAGTCCATTTAATTCTTCCTCCTCAACTTAGATTGCCTGGCAAAGTACAGGATGCTCAGTTAAATCTGAATTCAAATAAACAATGAATAATTTTTTATGTTAAGTATGTCCTAAATATTTCATGGGATTTCTGAAATACAAATTTACTTGGGGGGGGGGTGGGTCCTGATTTTGATTTACTTAATCTGGCAAACCTATGCCCAACTACAACACCCAACCTGCCCCTCGCCCCATATGCTACAAACAAACTTTGTATATAATCCTCCCAGAGAGAGTGATATATTTAAATTTTTGAAATGACAATTAATTCAGTGCTACTAGCATTTTATTTAAATTAAGTTGTTTTTAGGTGATAAGTCACAAGATTTTGCTTTAGTCATTGTTGGAAAGGGTATATTCTTGTATGTGGTAACCTTAGTACGTATTTTACAAGCCACGTTATAAAAACTTTTCCCTCTTCAGAAGGAATATTTTAATGATGTTTTATTTGCCTCCCAAACTCTTTCATTGTTTTGTGTTTCCATTGTATATACATATCAATCGGAGTCACAGGGAGAGAAGTATCATAACAGGACATCTAAAAAATTGGCTACCTTTTAGTAGTAAGCATTCCCTTATTAGGGCAAAATATAAGTCATTGCTTTTCTCAGAGACTTGGAATTGGAGAGCTCCAGGCTGTGAGGAACCTGACTTTACTTTTGGAAGCCTCACTGTTCTCATTGCTAAAGTGGTAGTGATAATAAAATCTACTTCTTAAATTGTATGAAGATTAGATGAGATAATATACCAAAAGTGGTTACTACTGGGCACCAAGGAAGCTTTTAATAGATGGTGGCCTCTGGAAAAGAAGGTAGTAATATGTGTATAACATTAGGTACCTCCTGTAATTTATGGACCTTTTTTTAAGAAGAGTTATATACTTAAGTCTTTGTAATTTAGGATATATATATGTCACACACACACACATACGTATGTATATGTAGTTGTTAAATTGATTTTTGTAAAAAAAAGATGAGGGTTGTTAAGTGTATTCTGAATAGAGAGAAGAAACAGAATGAGTGATAAAATGTCAATATCTGCTGTGAGAATTGAAGTTGTAATTATCCCAGGGGAGAATCCCTCCATTTAGAAGTTGTAGTAATAGTAATAGTACTAGTAGTAGTGAGGCTTAGTAAGAAGATGGGAGAAGCTCCCCATGTTAACATTTTAATATTATAAAAATTTTCCTCTTTTTCATATTTCTATATCTTGTGGATAGGTAACTATTAGTTTATTGAAAGAAAGATCAGTGAGACTCTTAAAAGGTTTCATGTTGTTTTGGGTCTACTATGAGATGTAGATATTTTTAAATATATACAATTGCTACAGCCCCAGGAAATGTTAAAGTGCTTTATAGACAGTCTCACTTAATATTTAGGAAAGAGTCAGGTTTAACAAGTCCACATTAAATTGAGGATTTGCAAAAAATTCTTTGAAATAAAACAGAGACACAACATACCAAAATCTCTGAGATGCAGCAAAAGCAGCATTAAGAGGAGTTTATAGTGCTAAACACCTCAAAAAGTTAAAAAGATCTCATTAACAATCTAATGTCACACCTAGAGGAACTAGAAAAACAAGAAAAAACTAACCCCAAAGCTAGCAGAAGAAAATACATAATTAAAGTCGGAGTGGAAGTGAATGAAATTGATACACAAAAATTCATACAGAGGATCAACAAAGTCAAAAGTTACTTCTTTGAAAGGATAAACAAAATCGATAGACCATTAGCTAGATTAACAAAGGAAAAAAAGGGAGAAGATCCAAATAAGCGCAATCTGAAAAGGCAAAGGTGACATTACAAATAATCCCATGTAAATACAAAAGATCCTCAGAGACTATTATGAACAACTCTAGATGCAGAAACTAGAAGATCTAGAGGAAATGGATACATTCCTCGAAACAAACATTCTCCTAAAATTGAATTAGGAAGCAATTGAAACCCTGAACAGACCAACATTAAGTTCCAAAATTGAATAAGTAGTGAAAAACCTACCAACCTAAAGAAGACCTGGACCAGATAGAGTCACAATTGAATTCTACCAGACATACAAGAAGAGCTTATACCAATTCTACTGAAACTATTCCAAAAAAATCAAGGAGGAAGGACTCCTACCTAACTCATTCTATGAATCCGATGAATCCAGCATCACCCTGATAACAAAACCTGGCAAAGACACAATGAAAAAAGAAAACTTCAAGCCACTTATGATGAACATAGATGCAAAAGTCCTCAACAAAATACTAGCGAAACAAATTCAACAGCACATCAAAAAGTTAATTTGCCATGATCAAGTAGGTGCCATTACTGGGATGCAAGGATAATTCAACATATGCAAATCACTAAATGTGATTCAACACATAAAAAGAATTTTAAAATATATGATCATCTCAACAGCTGCAGAAAAAGCTTTTGATAAAGTATACCATCCATTTATCATAAAACCACTCAAAAAATCATTTCTTAGTTATCAAAGGAAAATACCTGAAAATAATAACAGCCATATATCTATAACAAACCCACAGCCAACACTGTACTGAATGGGCAAAAACTGGAAGCATTTCCCTTGAAAACTGGAACAAGACAAGGATACTCACTCTCACCACTCCTATTCAACACAGTACTGGAAGTGCTAGCAAGAGCTATCAGGCAAGAGAAATAAATAAAAGGCAACCAGATAGGAAAAGAAGTCGTCAAACTATCTCTCTTCATGGAAAATATGATTCTATACATAGAAAACCCTGTAGATTCCACCAAAAGGCTCCTGGAACTGATAAATGACTTCAGTAGTGTTTCAGAATACAAAATCAGTGTACCAAAATCAGTAGTATTTATATACACCAATGATATTCAAGCTGAGAGCCAAATCAAGAACACAATCATATTTACAGGGCTGGGCATGGTGGCTCGCCAAAGCAGGAGGATCACTTGAGCTGAGGAGTTCAAGACCAGCCTGGGCAATATAGTGAGATCCCATATCTATAAAGTAAATAAATGAAAAAAAGTTCCATTTACAATAGCTGCAAAAAAATACCTAGGAATACATCTAATCAAGGGGGCAAAAGATCTCTACAAAGAGATCTGCAAAACACAGCTAAAAGAAATAATAAATGACACAGTAGAAAAACATTTCATGTGCATGGATTGGACGAATCAATTTTGGTAAAATGGATACACTGCCCAAAGCAATCTATAGATCCAATGCTATTCCTCTCAAACTACCAACATTATTTTGCTCAGAATTGGAAAAAAAAAAAACTATTCTGAAATTCGTATGGTGCCCCAAAAGAGCCAGAATAGCCAAAGCAATCCTAAGCAAAAAGAACAAAGCTGGAGGCATCACATTACCTGACTTCAAACTATACTACAAGGCCACAGTAACCAAAACAGCATGGTTCTGGTGAAAAAACAGACACACAGACTGATAGAACAGAGTAGAGAACCCAGAAATAAAGCCACAGACTTACAGCTATTTAATCTTCAACAATGCCAACAAAAATAAGGAATAGGGAAAGGATTACCTATTCAATAAATAGTTTGGGGATAGCTGGCTATCCATATGCAGAAGAATGAAACTGGACCCCCACTTTTCACCATGTAGAAAACTTAAGATGGATTAAATATTTACATGTAAGACCTCAAACTACAAGAATCATAGAAGAAAACCTGGTAATTACCCTTCTTACCATTGGCCTTGGGAATTTATGACAAAGTCCTCAAAAGCAATTGCAGCAAAAACAAAAATTGACAAGTGAGACCTAATTAAACTAAAGAGCTTCTGCACAGCAAAAGAAACTATCAACAGAGTAAGCAGACAACCTACAGAATGGGAGAAACTATTCACAAACTCTGAATCTGACAAAGGTGTAATATCCAGAAATCTGTAAGGAACTTAAACACATTGAACGAGCAAAAAACAAAGAACCCCCTTAAAAAGGTGCAAAAGACATAAACAGACACTTTTCAAAAGAAGACATACAAACAGCCAACAAACATATGAAAAAATGCTTATCATCACTAATCATCAGATAAATGCAAATCAAAACCACAATGAAATACCATCTCACACCCGTTAGAATGGTGATTATTAAAAAGTCAAAAAACAACAGATCTTGGCAAGGCTGTGTAGAAAAGGAGATGCTTATACACTTTTGGTGAGAATGTAAATTAGTTCAGTCAGTGTGGAAAGCTGTTTCAAGATTTCTCAAATTATTAGAAACCATTTGACCCAAGAATCCCATTACGGGGTATATATTCAAATGAAAACAAATTGTTCTACCAAAAAACCACACGCACTTGTATGTTCATCACAACAGTATTTACAACAGCAACGACATGGAATCCATGTAGGTGCCCATCAACAGTGGATTGGATAAAGAAAGTGTGGTAAATATATATGATGGAATCCTGTGTAGCCATACAAAAGAATGAAATCATGTCCTTTGCAGTAACATGGATGCAGCTGGAGGCCATTATCCTAAGTGAATTAATGCAGGAACAGAAAATCAAATACTGCATGTTCTCACTTATAAATGGGAGCTAAACACTGGGTACTCATGGACATGAAGATGGCAACAGTAGACACTGGGGACTACTAAATGGGGGAAGGATGGAGGGGGACAAGAGTTGGGAAACTAACTGTTGTGTACTATACTAAGTACCTGGGTGATAGGATCATTTGTACCCCAAACCTCAGCATCATGCAATAGACCCAGGTAAAAAACCTGCACATGTACCCCCTGAATGTAAAATAAAAGTTGAAAAAAAGTAAATTAAAAAATGAGGATTTGGCTTCCAGTATGAATCCCATTCTTTTGTTGTTTCAGTGTGAAGATAACTTTTTAAAATGACTGCCTTTGGCGTTTGTCTTATGCTACAGGTGTGTGACACATTTGTTTATGTGAGGAGGTGTCAAGAAAAGTGGGTTCTCAGATATGGTTAAATCTGCATCGCTAAACCTGCTTGGGGTTTGTACAATTTAAAATATGCTCAGCTTAACAATTAGATATCTATACTTTGGATTACAAGTGCCTGGATATCATTATCTGTTTAAATATTTGATATTTGGTTTTTTAGATGTATTTAAAAATATTCCAGGGATGTGTGCATGTGTGTTTTTTACATTGTGATAATTTTACATTAGACTTTATTTGGAACTATTATCAGATAGAAGATAATTAATGTGTCTTTCAAAGCTTTTTTTCCAGTAGGAGAGATTACGGTTATGATTTAAAATGAAGTGTGTGGAATGAAGAAGATCTGGAGTCTGGTTCATATTAAAACATCCCTGTTAACAAATAATTCAGCCTAGCGTTGTGTCTAAAATAGAGCCTCAGAGAATACATGCAGCTTCATTGATACAAGTAAATACCTGCTTTATGAAGCTCTAGTCTTAACAATGTTAAAGATTTAAATATGATATTGAAGGCCATTGTGGAATTAAAAAAAAAAAACGAGGTCAACTTATTGTATTCTAGATATACTTTAATTTCTAAATGGATTTAAAATGAATAGTATGGATCTGAAGTCCGTCTATACAGCAGGAAATAGGTAAGTAATTACAGCTTGCAGTAGAGTTACTTGGAGTGGTAAATGATTTTATTGGAGGTCAAATAGCTGTCAAGAGATAACAGCTCATATTAGGTTCTCACAGTGTGTACCTTTTTTGGAATATAGAGAAAGCAGGTGCTTATTGTGCAAAAGTTATCAGCTGAGGCTGATTTTTTTGTGGGGGAGGGTGTGAAAGGTGGTAAAATGTTTGATTCCAAAGTAAAATAACAGATTTGGGCGACTCTGATTACTTAACCTAATATACTGTTTATCTGTAATAAAGTGATATCTAACTGTTCAGAAATTAAAACTGACATTTCAGGTGTCTCCTATAATATATAACACCGCATATGTCTTTAAGTCAAATCCAGACTTCTTTCTTGTTGAAAAACTATGTTCTAGCTGCCTAGGTAAGTTAGTATAGACCTAGCAAACAGAGCAGTAGGTTTCAGTATTTTTTGCAGTTCACTGAGTGAAGATTAATTATATAAATGAAAGGTGCTGGTGTAATTGTATAGTCTTATTTGAAAACCACAGTACGTGAAATTGAGCCTGTTTTAAAGGGGCTCTGTGTGTGTGTAGGTATGTGTGGATAGAGTTTTCTGAGTTTAAGGAATTTTTGTAAATAAACAACACAGACCTATATTCTTGCTGTTGCTAAATTGTGGTTTATATTTTAGAGAGCTAATATCTGTAGTATGATAGAACTGTGGTTAAGAAACCTAATGCCATTTGTGTCAGGGCTATTTCATTGCTTTTTCCATCTCAGGGAAATCAAATGCAACTTGAGGCAAAAGAGTGGAAATTAATGATATACTGAGATAATATGTGTTTGCATATATCATTTTGAGGCTGTTTTGGAGAATACTTTAGGTGGTCCATAGATAGGCAGATGGGGGTTTTTAAGTACATAAGCTGTAAATCAATCCATTCAGTCAGATCATTTAACTTATATGGAAGAAAGATGAGGAACAATACTACATTTTTATGTGCAGAAATAACATCAGTTATTTAACATTCCCTTTTTGGCTCGTTAACAGCTTGTGGGTAGACGTAGCCCTGGATTATTATTACTTGGTTACCTCAGGATATTGACCAGAGGAAATGGACAGGAAAATGGCAGAAAGATCTAGGGAATGAAGTACTCATTTGAAAAAACAGTCAAAAGGAACAAATTATCAATTATTTGAGAATGAGTTCTTGGAAATTAGTTTATATGTTTTTGAAAGCAGTAGCAAAAGCAGAGGATTTATTTATTGGTACCATTCTAGTTCCAAAAAGGATTACAAAGTAGATGGGTTACTTATCTTGGTAATATGGGTTTTAGATCAAGGTGAGTTGAGGGGGAGAATGGGGAGAAACTGCTTCTCTTACTGCAAAGTTTCCTCTCAACTTTAGCTCTGGACTTGCTCTCACCCTCCAGGGGTAACTTGTTCATCTCCCGGTTGACTAATATGTACTTGGGCAGCTCAGTGGGGGACTGCATGATCTTTTCAGTTCCAGTCTCTAATGTTGGTATCAAGCATTTTCATTATTGATCAAGTTATCTCATTTAGGTGCCTGTATCCTAGTAAAAAGTATCTTGCCTCAGTAATAGTCTGTACATGTAAGCATTTAAGCTTTTAGTATGTTATAGGTCTTAATATCAGTGTTACTGTACATATTAAATAACATTTTGCCTTAAAGCTCTAATTTAGACTAAAACTTGTATTATCTTTTTTTAGGACAGCCAGTAGAGGTGACTTCATGTTTTCTGCGGATCGTTTGGTAGGTGGGGGCTTTTCATTTTCATTTCATTGTTTTGCCTAGTGATATAACCATGGTAGACCAAGGGATATTTTTGTTCTAGAGCATTCTGGGGCTGAAAGAGATTGTACTAAGTAACCATCATCTTGCTAGGCTAATGAAGTGTTGTTTCACTGTTGCATTAAAGATCTACTTCAATACTTTTCACCACAAAGCATTGCCCATGAACTAATTCCCTGTATTTCTGAGATAACACTACCTCTCAAATGGATCTTGGTAACTTGAGTTTCAGCAATTCTTAAGTGCCTCCTCTTAGGGCAGTGAAGTACATTAAAAGAAAACCAAAAATGTAAGGAGACCTCATAGTTACACTTGTGGTATCCAACGAATGTACAAAAATATATATTTCTTGTAGTTTACGGCGGCAGCAGGGGGAGGCTTATTTTGCCTCTTCTTTCCTGTACTAGCCTTCACATGTGAAATAGTACATTTGACTGTCTATGGTTTCCTCAGGCACTTCCTATTAAGAATTGACCAAGCTCAATTCTGTTTAGCTAGTGTGATCTGAGAGGATCTCAGTCCAAATTGGTTTGTCTTCAGGGTAAGCACTGTGTTTTCTTCTTGTGTTAATATCTAAGCATGCTTAGTGCTTGAAGTGAGGTTGACATGTTTTCTGCTGTGGCTATTAGTTTCAATCCACAGCAGAAAATACATTACATTCAGGAAAGTTTAGTGTATATTTATATTTATATATAGTTTAATGTATATTTATATTCAGTGTATATTCATGAAGTTTAGTGTATATTTCATGAATGTATTTCACTAAAATTGCGTGAATCAGGTATTGTGCTAGGCTGTGTCCAGAGAGATGAGATACAATAGTGAAGAATGTAGGCATGGTCTCTAATCTCTTGGTGTTTATGATCTAAATACTAGATTTACAAACTAAGTGCAAATTTAGTTTGGGAAAGAAAGGAATGAACAGGGCTTCTTAGCCCCAAAGTTATAATCAGATTAAGGTAGATGATTAAAAGGAATGTGAAAAAAAGGCATGAAACTTTTCATTTAGGTTTTGCCTGAGGATTTATTCCAAAAGAGCATAGACAACTCCTGTTCTGCTTTTCATCGTAAGTATTCTTGGTTCAGAGACCAATTTTATTTAAAATTATTTGAGTTTTCATTGGCAGTAATAACCCTTAGATAGTAACAAGATAAATGTGGTTGACATTCCTGGAGCAATAGTTACGTCATTCTGTCTTTTATGCTTTTATCAAACCAAAAGAACAGGCTTGAAGAACTTGTATCTTAATGGCTGCTGTTTTGGTGTTTACTGGTAGAAAACGGTTCCTCTTTCTTTTGCTGTTCTTATGCTCTTTTTCTATAGAAAGTAGGAGTTAAGTTCACGGTTATTGTAAGATGCTTCCCTGAAAGGGCAAGCATAATCTTAGCCCAGTGAGATAGTAAGGACCTATGGCATAATTCACCTGAGGGGATAATGATTTGGATCTCTCTCTGTTCTCTGCAGGTGGCTTTCAAGGTCCTGATATGGGGTGAGAAAGGGTCTGTTGTGGTTGTGGTAGAGACTGGAGCTATTTAGGTTTAACTTCTTGAGGATTTCTAGTACACTATCTCCTGCAGCACATGTCATTAATATATATTATCATATATATATTAATTTCATCCTGAATTTGTCAGGGTTGGCTTCCTTGGCCCTCAGATCCTTGGGTTCTTTATATTTTAGTCACTCTTCTGATTTTATGCACTCCTGTAAGAGTTGGGCACACTAATTTCTGTCCCAGTGTTGGAGGGGATGGGGATAGGAGGTAAGACTCATTAGAGGACTGTTACTAGGAGGAAAAGATCTAGGCTCTTCAAAGAAAATAATCCTCTTTTACCCTTGTAATTTGCTCATAAAAAAAAATCTCCACAGAAGATGGTGGCTGGAAGTGAGTATGCACACATGTGCAGTATTCATGAGGTGCCTGGGCCCTCTGTCTGATGCTGCAGGCTGACAAAATCCTGGCTTATTTAGAATTGATTGTTTTAATGGCAGCAGGGTGTTATTATATGTTGTGATAACAGAGCATAGGGCCTGGTGCTGCTCCCTGCTGTTGCAGATTCTCAATCAGTAATGTAATGTTGATTGGATAAAATGTGCATTGCAGACTCAGCATTACTTTTACTGTAGTTGGCTTTGGTTGTTCATGGAATTACCATATCTTGTTTTTGGAGGCTCTTGTAGTAGTTCTGAGTGATGCTTTCCTTTGTACCACACATTATGATTGATATGAGCCTTTTCTTTAGCTGAGAAGCCCCAGTGCATTTTACTGGATCCTCCTTCAAGCTCAGTAAATTGGTTCAGCCAATGCACTCATTTATTTCCTCTAAAGAAGTTTCAGGCTTTATTTACATTATAGTGGGCCTTTGTTAAAAATAATCTGACTTAATGATTTCCAAGGTACTGAATAAAGCAGAGAAATTCCCAGTGAGCACTATTTCCAGAATAATAAGAAGTATATTACTTCCAAGAGTGCTTGCCATGACTGTTGTCACTTGCTGGAGTTTTGTGTCCCTCATAGTCTGGACTGACAGAATGAGAATCAGAAGGAATATTGGAGCCTTTTGGTGACAATCATGGCCTATCTGAGGTTGGATACCTAGCAGCAAGTAGTATGGCATTTGGATCTATCCCTGTATCTAACACATGATAGGGGGCCCCTTACTGCCTCCACAAGTGAAACCTTTGCCTAGTGTGTTCATGACTCTGCCTACTGTTCAGCTCCTGAAGCTAACAGCTAACAGGAGATTCCCAGCAGGTTCTCAACTTCTTCTTCCTTTGACTCTCTAGATCAGACTTGTTGTGGAAGAGGGATTGAATCAGCTGCCATATAAAGAATGCATGGTGACCACTCCAACAGGTAACTAGGGCTGTTATTCTCAAATTTTCCTCATAAAAATTCTGAGCTAGAATGGGGAAAGATGTAAGTAAAGCAGTCTAAGTAAAATAAATATGCAAAATGAAGGGCTAGGTGGAGCTATTCTTTTAAAATCTTAAAAATAAAACTCAGGCATTTAGGAAAGAAATCTGTGTAGATGACTTTTTGTTAAGGGCTTGCTTGTCAATTCAAGTTAAAGGTTAACAAATACTCTTCAGCATGCACGTGTTGCCTCTAATGATGGCCCATTGAGACCATAGTTAAGAATTGCTGGCAGCTTATCTTCATCTCTATGGGAAAGCTGCTGGTGAGCACAAATGGGCAAGTCTGTTTTGGCACTGAAATTACATGTTAAAAAAGGATAGAAAGTAAAAAAGAAAACTAAAAATGATAAGAATTGGAGAAGGTGCTTTGTTCTATCCTTTAATAGAAAGTAGCCAAAGATCCCTGTTTCAGGGATTTGAAATTATGATTTGGTTCAGTAAATAACGTAAAACTGTTCTATTCAAAGGGTTTACTTTATGAAACTTGGGGACTGAGTTTGTAGCATCATAATTGACACAAATTCAGGATGAGACCAAGAGTTGAGCATGTCTTAATAACTATTTCAGCCACTTTCTTCTGCTTTTAAGGCAGAATGGAGGCTCATAAAGAAGAACAGAGGCTCATAAAGAAGAATGGAATGAGGAAGCTTTCTGCTGTGGCTCACAGTGGGGTCCCAGTTTGAATTGATGGGGTATATAGCATTCTCAGAGTGCAGTGATTCTCTTTGAATTCAGTTTGAGGAATGTGTATGTGAATATCGTGTTATAATAAGTCCTATTCCCATTCAATGAAGTCTGCCTCTCCCAATTATCCCCACAGGTTTCTTATGAAGAATTAAGAAATAACTGAAAAATCATGACTCATCTCATTATTTCCACAGGGAATCTCAGGCATTATACAGTGTGTCTGAACAAGGGTTGCTTTGTGCCCATCTACTTTAAACCGTAGACACTTTATAAAATATGTAGGTTACTCCAGTGATGAAAGATAAATTCTTTGGTTTTATTTCCTAACAGGGTACAAGTATGAAGGAGTGAAATTTGAGAAGGGAAATTGTGGGGTCAGCATAATGAGAAGCGGTAGGTTCACGTGTGTGTGATTTTTGTCTCTTTGTATGCATAGAAATGGTTGCTGTTTTCCAGAAGAGAGGCAGGCTTGTCTGTCATAATTGCAGCCTGCCTTTAGTTAAATCTCACTACCTGTGTTATCTAGCCTCATGGTGCTGTGGAGTCATGGCCTGTGTGAGGCTAGGTTTGGCTAATTTTAACTACAGAGCGTATTCCCTAATAGAGTGCTCCCATGGGCAAGCCAGCTTTCAAAGAGATTCAGAGGAGGATGGGAGGATAGGAGGATGTGGTGATGCTATCTTGGGGAGAACAGGTCAGTTTGAAGACTGAGGGAATATGGTATAAATTCGGGCTTGGAGAACTTTGAATACCTGACTGGAGAAAATATTTCTTCTGTTTTTATTTCTGTTGTTGGGCTAAATGACTTGTTTGATATTTTTACTTTTTTTTTTTTTTAGACAGGGTCTCACTCTATTGTCCAGGCTGGAGTATGGTGGCGTGATCATAGCTCGCTGTAACCTCAAACTCCTGAGTTCAAGTAATCCTCCCACCTCAGCCTCCTGAGCAGCTAGTACTACAGGCACATGCCACTATACCTAGCAAATTAAAAAACAATTTTTTTTTTTTTTTGGTAGAGATGAGGTCTTGCTATGTTGCCCAGGCTGGTCTAAAACTCCTGGCCTCCAGTGATGCTCCTGCCTCAGCCTCCGAAAGTGCTGGGATTATGGGCATGAGCCACCATACCCAACCTAATACTTTAAAACTTTATATATGATGAGTACGTGACCACATAGGCAAAAGTGCTTGACTGTCATTAATTCTAGGTATTTCCATCTGCTGGTCTTATGAATGTTGTATTTGTGTTTGAGTCCAACTGATTACCCTTCTAAACCAACCTTTGTATAGCAAAATCACTTGCCTGTGATTAGAACCTTTACCTGTTACATGGGGTTTTTTCCATTCAGCCAACTTAATTGTTTCACGTAAGATTTATGTTTTTTTTGCATAAGTGGTAGAAGCTCCACTTGTTTGCACTGAATACATATAGTTTAATTTTTAACATATAAACATTCACTTTTCTCTTCTGGTTATGAAGTTATGTTTGTGAACAATTAAATGCCTCAAGTAAACTAGGAACTTTAAGCTCCTTTTTTCTAGGAGGAAGCTCTTAAGCACTGATAGCATTTCAGGACATTTCAGGACAATGATGTTCAACTTTTAAAAACTGGTAAAGACAATGGACTTTTAAGGTGCAGTTTCTTCTGTTTCAGTTCAGCTTCTTCTCTAAAGGCACAAGCATGGTCCTTGTACCCTTAGTATGTACTAGATGACTTGTGGTGATGTACAGCATTGCTTATAACCTTAATAGCCATTTGTTGATTTTCATATATATTAGAAAGAAACTTGTTTTATGTTTACACTAGTGATATAGTTTCCTCTTAAAATAAATTTAAGTGAAAACAATAAATTTAAGAAAAATGTTAAGTAAATGCCAGTATTGGTAGAATTCTGATATGGCCTAAAATCTTGAAGATGGCATGAGAATGACTGCCTTTTGGCAAACACTTCTTTAAAGGAATTCAGACTCAAAAATAGCTCTGTGTTCAGAAATCAACGGTGGTAGTGCTAGTTATTATTACCTGGGAGAGGGGGAACAATATACAACTTTTTCACTGCTTGCAGCAAAATCTTTGCTGTTGAGAAGTCATTGTTGAGCTAAGTGATGTCCCCTGATGCTACCTTGACCTAAAAGGAGACTTTCTGATCTACATCCTTTATTCTTCCATAAATCTTTTGCATTTTCTCATACAAAAGTCACAAATTTAGGTGGTTTAAAGGCTTCTTTAAAATAATAGAGATAAAAATATTCCTGATATTAAAAAAGCTCAGGGAGCTGCTCAACAAAATGCTTTATTTCCTATAATCACGGAAGCATGACAGCTCTAAAACTTGTAAGCTAGCAATAAAACTAGCTTATTCTAGTTTCATTAACCAGCCCTTAACCTGGTTTCATTAACCTCCACTAAGTATGAAATATGAGCATATCAGAAATAAAAGCTGTCAGCTTCAAAATAATTATTTTCATCTTCCTTCCTTTTTGTATTAATAACAGTGACAAACTATACTTTGGCCTGTTCTTGGACTTTCTCTCTCTTTCCCCTAATCTTTTTTCTTTCTTTTTTCTTCTTCAAGGTGAGGCAATGGAACAAGGTTTACGAGACTGCTGTCGATCCATACGAATTGGAAAGATCCTGATTCAGAGTGATGAGGAGACACAAAGAGCCAAAGTATATTATGCCAAATTCCCCCCAGACATTTACCGGAGAAAAGTCCTTCTGATGTATCCAATTCTCAGTGAGTGGCTTCCATTTGTTTGTAACCTTTGGTTAGGGTTTAAATTCAACTTAGTGCCTGCCTCCTAGGTACCCTTATATAAAAGGCAAAAAGAGTTTCTAAATGTTTTTTTCTCAGTTGGGAAAACTGCCCCAGGCAGTTCACTGGAGAGTTTTTATTGCATAATAAGAGAATATACAGTAGTCAGACCTTATTAGCCCCAACAAACTTCCGTCTTGAACACATTGAAACAAAGGATTTAATGAGGCAAAATATATGGAATACAGAAAATATATTGAAACATATCTCCTCTTTAGCCTAATGAGTACAGCAGTGATTTTCCTCAATAATTTATTCTCTCTGGAGGTAACATTTTTTCCTGCTATTCTGTTCTGTTTCTTAAGCTTACTCAGACCACACTTGGCATGGTCTTTAAGGGAGGTGAGAGGGAATATGTTAAATTTGATACCTCATATACTAAATGAATTTAGGGCTTGGTATTTGATAACTGAAAAGTGTATGTGTCATGTTCATTATTGAAGATAGCATTAATAAAGAACAAGTACCTTCATATGAAGTGGTTTCTTATGTTAGATTGCTATATTGCTCTTACTTCAAAGACATTTTGTGGCCGCGTGCTGTGGCTCACACCTGTAATCCCAGCAATTTGGGAGGTCGAGGTGGAAGGATCGCTTGAGCCCAGGAGTTTATGACCAGCCTGGGCAACATATGGAGAACCCATTTCTGCAATAAATAGAAAAAGTAGCTGGGTGTGGTGGCACGTGCCTATAGTCCCAGCTACTTGGGAGGCTGAGGTGGGAGGATGGCTTGAGCCTGGGAGGTCAAGGCTGCAGTGGGCCGAGATCATGCCACTGCACTCCAGCCTGAGTGACAGAGTGATTCCCTGTCCCCCCTCCCCCAAAAAAAGAAAAAAGACATTTAAAAATGAATGTTAAGGTTGCTAATTCATTTGGTTATCTTTTGATTTCAGGCACTGGAAATACTGTAATTGAAGCTGTAAAGGTTCTTATAGAACATGGAGTTCAACCCAGTGTTATCATCCTACTCAGTCTGTTCTCCACTCCTCATGGTGAGTTCAGCATGAGGCAGTAACTAGGGCTCCATATAGTCCTGAGGTGGGTAAGTATGCATTTTCTAGCTTCTAATCCTGAGGAAAAGTTTATCTGCTTTCACATTAAATCTGAATCTAATTTGGGTAATTATAACTTGTGTTTGTCATCTGTAAGCTTAGTGATAACATTTTATACCATTCTAATGTTCAAATGCAAATGGAGAAGTATGAACTAACCCCATTTAAAAGAATTGCAATTGTTTTCCTGGTTTGGCCTGCAAATGACTCAAAGGTTCCTATTTCCCTTGGCTCGCCACTTGAGCCTGAGAACTGCTCACAAACAGCAAGAAACATAAGGTTCTAGCTAGCCCTGTAGTCTTACTGAAGTAATCTTTGCAGTGTGAAGTGAAGAGCAGAAGTTTTTAAAGTTAGACTTCTGCTCAAAGGGCAGAGAGAACTGTGTGTTCTCCATTCCTGAAGGAGGTGTACCTAACTTAAGATCTTAGTGTTTTTCGCCATACATTGCAGAACAATTGGGAATATATTTTAAGAAAATAAGTATAGGTGCATGTAGAAATTTAGCTTCTAGGATGTTTATTGTAGAGTTATTTGGTATAAGAAAAAATGTGAAAGTATACAAATGACTCACAATAAGGAAATGGTTAAATAAATAATATATATTCAAAGGATATACTATTATGTAACTGTTAAATCATGTTTTTGGAAAATATTGAATGGCATCCAAAAATGTACATGGTAAATGTAAAAAAGCAGTATAAAAATAACAGCATTAGAATAGGGTAAAGTGTTACCACCAAGCTTGGAGATGACCAGTACAAATTATGACTATTTTAATTACAAAAATCAGAGTTGGATTTAATATGGAACCTAATAAATCTTTCCTTAGCATGAGAGGCTAGACAGACACACAGTGTTGTTTCAATTTTGGTTTCAAAATGCATACACAATATTAATAGTGGTTATTTTAGGCTGGTGGGATTCTAAGTGCTTTTCATTTTATTTTTAAGCTTTAAATTGGTATTTTTCAAATGTTCTACAATGAATTTGTATTTGCTTCATAATTTTTAAAAAGGGCAATATATGGCTTCTCTAGTCAGGTGTTTTCTCATTTCCAAAATTTCTAAGTCTTAGCCAGTTCTGAAGAGGCTACAGTATATCTAGTTGGGAAAGCTGGTTTCAGTAGGTTATTGACAGGAGTTATGGCCTGTTTGATTACTTTGCTGTTTCATAACTAAATATTACTTGTAGTTCAAATGTTGGTGGTAACAAAAGGCGATTTGCTTAAGTTATCATTTATATATATAAAACACAGGTGGCATTGAAAATATTGAGAGAATCCAATAATTATTAAAATTTTTACCTTTGGGAATAGAAAAGCACTCTTTTTAGTTCTAATAGTATACATGAGAATGGTGTACTATTCTTTGAAATTTATAGCTGAAAAATTTTATTCTGTGGCAACTTTGCTATGGATTTTTAGTTTGACAGGGTAATTAAAATAGTCATAATTTGTATTGGTCATCTCTTAAGCTTGGTGATAACATTTTATGTGATTCTAGTGCTGTTATTTATACATTTTTTACATTTTTACATTTACCATGTACATTTTTGATGCCATTCAATATTTTCCAAAAATATGATTTAACAGTTATATATTACATCCTTTGAATATATGTTATTTATTTAACCATTTCCTTATTGTGAGTTATTTACATACTTTCACATTTTTTCTTATGCCAAATCACTCTACAATGAATATCCTAGTCCTTGTTACTTTTCCCTACCTATTCCCCTCCCCATAAGCTAGAGTCCTAACTTCTAAAAAGCTGGCGTGCTCTGACACACCAGCTTTTTCTGTGAAAAGCAAGTACACTGTGAAACACTACACTTGTTTCACAGTGTTTCAGTTGAGAAACCATCATCTTACGTGTGTTCCTCTTTAATTTTTTTTTAATAGAGATGGGGTGTTGCCGTGTGGCCCAGGCTGGTCTCAAATTCCTGGCCTTGAGTGATCCTCCTGCCTCAGCCTTCTAAAGCTCTGAGATTACAGGCTTGAGCCACTGTGCTTGGCCTGTGATCCTCATTTTAAAAAGGACTGTATTCACTCTATTACAGTCACCTTTAAAATTAAACAAAATAAAAAATACTCTTTAGGGGGAAAGTTTCTATAACTGAACAATTATATTTTTCAACTTGAGTATAAAATAATAATTCTAAGAATGTATTAGTGAGATGGAGGGGGCATAATCTGACTACTGTCAAAGCTTTTCAGACTTTATACAAAGGAAGAGATTAACCAAGTCTGATTAGGTATCCAAAGATCATTGCTCTCTGTCTTCTCTCAATTTTAGACCTAGTGGCAATAACTACAAAATTCCTGAATTACAACTGGTGTTACCAAAACATCCTACCATAATAACTTTTGTTTTTTTGAAGGTGCCAAATCAATCATTCAGGAGTTTCCAGAGATCACAATTTTAACTACTGAAGTTCATCCTGTTGCACCTACACATTTTGGACAGAAATACTTTGGAACAGACTAAGTTATTTAAGTAAAATAATTATCTTATGTAATATTACAATCATGTTTTGATTTTCTATTTGTTTTACTGATTCACTTGAGGGTGGCAGAGAAAAATGTGTTAAAATGCTTTTTAGTTTTGGAAGTGGGTATATTTGAGGTTATATCTCATTTAGTTATTTGTTTACTGTTGGCACCGAATTCAACAATGAAGTATATGCAACTCTTACAAAACATAAATTTTAATAATATTCTAATGCAAATTACTGAACCCTCAGTGCATTAAAATTATTTCCTAATTTATGAGCCTCTTAGTTTGGAGGTTGCTTGAAGCCACAAATAAAACTCAAATGAGAGTCAGTTCTTTGTCCCACTGTAGTTTGCATTTTGTTTAGTTTGGTTTTAGCTCTACTAAGGTTTCACATATGTGGCTATTGCCACATTCCTCTACTGTTTTCTTTCTGATACTGGACATGCTAGTAACTTGGAGAGGAGAATAAAAGAATGTCTCCTGGAATTTTACATTCCCATTAATGTCCTCATTCAGTTGGCAGACCTAGGATGTATGGTTAACTCTCAGGCCATTATGTTTTTCATGGCTCATTTCCCAAACTGCATTGTTGGTAGGTGCCTTGCTAAGCTGTAATGCAGTGAAGAAGATGGTGGGGCATTTTTAGTAATTGGAACTGTAACATTAATTTACAAGATTGAACCGGGGATGTCTGGATGCTGACAAGGGAGAGCCAAGTACTGTTAATGCCATCAATCCTCTAGGAAGGAATTGGTGGTTTTTCTGAAGTGTGGGGGAAAGGGTGGTTTCTTGCTGGATTTCATGGCCAGTAAGTAAATTTAAATGCTTCATTTTTAATTTGGATGTTTCTGCTAGAGACCTTTGATTTGGAAATTAGTTATTTTGCATGTTTGTCAACTGTATATGTATGAAAATAGAAAAAAACCATGCTTTTTGTAAAAACCCCTAAGATTTGTATATGTTCATCTTTAGGCTTCTGAAAGGGAGAGAAATCATATTGGAAATCAGTGTTGGTGTTCTGAAATCTGCTTGTAAAACTCTCATCTCATTTTACATTGATATTAAAACATTTTAACAGTGTTGGCTAGCTGATTACTTGATTAATTATACTCCCATGGCCCCATAGGAAGCTGTTGTGGGCCTCTGTTCAAAAGCACAGAAAAGAGCAGAAGGAAATGTCTTAGAAAGAATCAAAGCTGATGAAATCAGCAAAGATTGGGGGAAAGGAAGGAAGCCTGGTGTAGATTGGATTATATTTTTCCTTTGGGGACTAGAATACTAGAAGAACTTCAGTATATTTTTCCCTTTATTTTTGAATACTGTCATATAATAAATTGAGATTAATAAATTACTCATATTACAGTTCTTCCATGGCAAATGTTGCTTTCAAGTTGTTACTGAAATTCTCATCTATACTTGTCAGTTAACTGTCTTGATACAGTGTGGATTTTGTTTACTCCTGACTAGCAGAAGTTATAACTAAAGCCCGTTAAAGCTAGAATTTCTATCTCCCTCTCCCAGCACAGATGTGAACCAGCAAATTTAGATGGAGAACAGATATGCTTGAGATTGGTGCATCAAACTAGTTGAAAAGATGATGCCTACCACTATAGGAGTTAATGCTTCTAAATTATTGCTTATGTTAGGGCTTCAGTATTTCATTTGAGGTGACTTTCCAAAACAGCAGACAAATTTATATTCAAGTGTAGATATAAAACCATATTTTAAGCAAATTATTTTTGTATTACCAGCCATTTAGATTTAACATGTCTTTGTTCCTCGATTGATATTTAGTTGACTACATTTGGTTCCCACATGAAGGGCCTAGAATGAGCAGTAGGAAGTATTCAATGAGGTCATAGTCGCCCCTGATATTTGTCTTCTATCCCTCTCTAGATTTCAAGAAAATTATACCTATGGGTTTTGAAGTTTGGGTCTTTTTAGCAAATGAGGCATTATTTGTAGGGTTAATCACTTGCAGGACTCTGAGCGTGGGACATTTTTTAAGTATTCTAAATTTAACACAAGATTAACAGACTATTGAAAACAACATTGTTTTTAAGTAATATGAACTTCAGAGTAGTATAAACTTTGTATATTCCTTGCTGAAGAACACACCCTAGCACAATAAAAAGAACAGTCCAATCGTATATGCAGTGGTTCTCAAAACTTGAATGTGCATCAGAATCACCTAGAGGGCCACAGATTGCTGTGGCCTAACAAGTTCCCACGAGATGCTAACATTGTTTTGGAGACCATATTTTGATTTAAGACATTTCTTTTATAATAGAAGCATTTAATGTTATAAGTTTTCCTATAAATATTGATTTAGCTGTACCTCACAAATTTTGATATAGAATGTTTCATTTTCATTTATATTAAAATAATTGCTCATTTTTCATTTCTTCTTTGACCCAGGGTTATTTAGAAACATGTCATTTAATTTCCAAATATGGGATTTTCCAGATTTCTTTCTGTTATTGCTTTCTAATTTAATCCCACTGTGGTGAGAGAATATACTTCTTATTATTTGAATCCTTTTAAATTTATGGAGACTTGTTTTATGGCCCAGAATATAGTCTCTTCTGGTAAATCTTCCATGGGTGCTTGAAAACTATGTTTTATCCTGCCATTTTTGGATAGAGTGTTCTATGTCAATTAGGTTAAGTTGGTTGATAGTGTTGTTCAAGTCTACTTTACTGATTTTCTCTTTTTTCATCTGCTCCTTCTGAGGCAACTTTATTGACTTTCTGTCTACTTATTCTATCAGTTGTTGGGAGAGATCGATGAAATCTCTGACTAAAATTTATATTTGTTTGTTTCTCCTTTCAGTTTTATCAGTTTTTGCTTTATGTATTTTGAAGCTTTGTTGTTAGGAGTGTAAACTTTTAGGATTGTTATGTTCTCTTGATAAGCTGACTCATTATCATGAAATATTCCCTTTTATCCCTGTTATTCTTCTGAAATCTACTTTGCCTGATGTTAATGTAAATATTCTGGCTTTCTTTTGAATAATACTAACATGGCATATCTTTGTTCATCCTTTTACTTTTTTTTTTTTTGAGATGGAGTCTCATTCACTCTGTCACCCATGCTGGAGTGCAATGGCGTGATCTTGGCTCACTGCAACCTCTGCCTCCTGGGTTCAAGTGATGCTCCTGTCTCAGCCTCCCAAGTAGCTGGGACTACAGACGTATACTGCTATGCCTGGATAATTTGTATATTCTTAGTGGAGACGGGGTTTCACCACATTGGCCAGGCTGGACTCGAACTCCTGACATCAAGTGATCTGCCCGCCTCAACTTTTCAAAGTGCTGGCATTACAGGTGTGAGCCACCATGCCTGGCCTCATCCTTTTACTTTTAACTTATGTGTGGGGTTTTTTTGAGACAGGGTCTCAGTCCATCACCCCGGCCGGAATGCAATGGCATGATCATAGCTCACTGTAACCTTGAACTCCTAGGTTAAAGTGATCCTCCTGCCCCAGCCTCCCAAGTAGCCAGGACTACAGGCATGCGTCACTACACCTGGCTAATTTTTAATTTTTCTGTAGAGATGGGGTCTTGCTATGTTGCCCAGGCTGATCTTGAACTCTTGGCATCAAGGGATCCTCCCACTTTAGCCTCCCAAAGCCATGAGATCACATGTTTGAGCCATCACACCCAGCCCTATTTGTGTTTTTATAGATTTTTTAAATTAAACATTTCAAAATTTTATTTCTAGAGACAGAGTCTTGCAATATTGCCCATGTTGGACTTCAACTCCTATTTCCTGAGTAGCTGGGATGACAAGCATGTGCCACCACACCTGAATTGTTTTTATATTTAATCTGGGTTTCTTATAGGTAACCTAGAGTTGGGCCTTGCTTTATTTTTCCAATTTGACAGTCTCTGCCTTCTAATCAGGATGTTTAGACCATTTTTATTTAATGTGATTATTGATATGATTGGTTTAAAATCTACCATCTTGCTATTTGCCTTCTATTTGTTCATTATTCACTTTTTCCTCTTTTTCTACCTTCTTTTGCATTATTATTTATTATTCCATTTTATCCATTTGGATTATATTAGATGCAATACTTTCTTCTTTTAGTGGTTCCTTTAGGGTTTATAGTATATAACTTTAATTTATCACAGCCCACTTCAAGCGTAAGATAAGAACTTCATGTACTTCTATTCCCCCACTCGAGTCTGTTCCCTATTATTGTCATGTTTTACTTCTACACATGTTAAACCTTATAATACATTGTGGGTTTTTGTTTGTTTTTGATACTTTTAAAGTGATATAAAAAGAAATAAGAAAAAAGGTATTTTCATTTTTTTAAATATACTTTAAGTTCTGGGATACATGTGCAGAACGTGCAGGTTTGTTACATAGGTATACATGTGCCATGGTGGATTGCTGCACCCATCAACCTGTCATCTAGGTTTTGAACCCCACATGCATTAGATATTTGTCCTAATACTATCCTTCCCCTTGCTCCCCATGCCCCAACTGGCCCAGTGTGTGATGTTACCCTCCCTTTGTCCATGTATTCTCATTGTTTAACTCCCACTTGTGAGTGAGAACATGTGGTGTCTGGTTTTCTGTTCCTGTGTTAGTTTGCTGAGAATGATGGCTTCATCCGTGTCCCTGCAAAGGACATGAATTCATTCTTTTTTATGGCTGCATAGTATTCCATGGTGTATATGTGCCACATTTTCTTTATCCAGTCTATCATTGATGGGCATTTGGGTTGGTTCCAAGTCTTTGCTATTGTAAATAGTGCTGCAATAAACATACGTGTGCATGTGTCTTTATAGTAGCATGATTTATAATCTTTGGGATATACCCAGTAATGGGATTGTGGGTCAAATGGTATTTCTGGTTCTAGATCCTTGAGGAATCGCCACACTGTCTTCCACAATGGTTGAACTACTTTACACTCCCACCAACAGTGTAAAAGCATTCCTATTTCTGCACATCCTCTCCAGCATCTGTTGTTTCCTGAGTTTTTAATGATTGCCATTCTAATTGGTGTGAGATGGTATCTCATTGTGGTTTTGATTTGCATTTCTGTAATGACCAGTGATGATGAGCTTTTTTTCCAATGTTTGCTGGTTGCATAAATGTCTTCTTTTGAGAAGTGTCTGTTCATATCCTTCACCCACTTTTTGATGGGGCTGTTTTTTTCTTGTAAATTTGTTTAAGTTCCTTGTAGATTCTGGATATTAGACATTTGTCAGATAGATAGATTGCAAAAATTTTTGCCCATTCAAAAGGTAGCCTGTTCACTCTAATGATAGTTTTTTGTTTTTTTTTTTCTGTGCAGAAGCTCTTTAGTTTAATTAGATCCCATTTGTCAATTTTGGCTTTTGTTGCCATTGCTTTTGGCATTTTAGTCATTAAGTCTTTGCCCACGCGTATGTCCTGAATGGTATTACCTAGGTTTTCTTCTAGGGTTTCTATGGTTTTAGGTCTTACATTTTAGTCTTTGATCCATCTTGAGTTAATTTTTATATGAGGTGTAAGGAACGGGTCCAGTTTCAGTTTTCTGCATATGGTTAGCCAGTTTTCCTAACACCATTTATTAAATAGGGAATCCATTCCCCATTGCTTGTTTTTCTCAGGTTTGTCAAAGATCTGATGGTTGTAGTTGTGTGGTATTATTTCTGAAGTCTCTGTTCTGTTCCATTGGTCTATATATCTGTTTTGGTACCAGTACCATGCTGTTTTGGTTACTGTAGCCTTGTAGTATAGTTTGAAGTCAGGTAGGGTGATGCTTCCAGCTTTGTTCTTTTTGGTTAGGATTGTCTTGGCTATACAGGCTCTTTTTTGGTTCCATATGAAATTTAGTTTTTTCTAATTCTGTGAAGAAAGTCAATGGTAGCTTGAAGGGGATAGCATTGAATCTATAAATTACTTTGGGTAGTATGGCCATTTTCACAATATTGATTCCTCCGATCCATGAGCATGGAATGTTCTTCCATTTGTTTGTGTCCTCTCTTATTTCCATGAGCAGTGGTTTGTAGTTCTCCTTGAGGAAGTCCTCTACGTCCCTTTAAGTTGTATTCCTAGGTATTTTATTCTCTTTGTAGCAACTGCGAATGGGAGTTCACTCATGATTTGGCTCTCTGTTTGTCTATTATTGGTGTATAGGAATGCTTGTGATTTTTGCACATTGATTTTGTGTCCTGAGACTTTGCTGAAGTTGCTTATCAGCTTAAGGAGATTTTGGGCTGAGACAATGGGGTTTTCTGAATATACAGTCATGTCATCTGCAAACAGAAAGAATTTGACTTCCTCTGTTCATATTTGAATACCCTTTGTTTCTTTCTTTTGCCTGATTGCCCTGGCCGGAACTTCCAATACTATGTTGAATAGGAGTGGTGAGATAGGGCATCCTTGACTTGTGCCAGTTTTCGAAGAGAATGCTTCCAGCTTTTGCCCATTCAGTATGATATTGGCTGTGGGTTTGTCATAAATAGCTCCTATTATTTTGAGATATGTTCTATCAATACCTAGTTTATTGAGTGTTTTTAACATGAAGATGTGTTGAATTTTATTGAAGTCCTTTTCTGCATCTATTGAGAAAATCATGTGGTTTTTGTTGTTGGTTTTGTTTATGGGACGGATTACGTTTATTGATTAGTGTATGTTGAACCAGCCTTGCATCCCAGGGATGATGCCCACTTGATCATGGTGGATAAGCTTTTTGATGTGATACTGGATTTGGTTTGTCAGTATTTTATTGAGGATTTTTGTTTCAATGTTCTTCAGGGATATTTGCCTGAAATTTTCTTTTTTTTGTTGTGTCTCTGCCAGTCTTTGGTATCAGGATGATGCTGGCCTCATAAAATGAGTTAGGGAGGAGTCCCTCTTTTTCTATTGTTTGGAATAGTTTCAGAAGGAATGGTAGCAGCTCTTCTTTGTACCGCTGGTAGAATTCGACTGTGAATCCATCTGGTCCTGGGCTTTGTTTTTGGTTGGTAGGCTATTAATTACTGCCTCAATTTCAGAACTTGTTATTGGTATATTCAGGGATTCGACTTCTTCCTGGTGTAGTCTTGGGAGGGTGTATGTGTCCAGGAATTTTTCCATTTTTTTCTAGATTTTCTAGTTTATTTGTGTAGAGATGTTTATAGTGTTCTCTGATGGTAGTGTGTTTTTCTGTGGTGTCAGTGGTGATATCCCCTTTATCATTTTTTTATTGTGTCTATTTGATTCTTCTCTCTTTTCTTCTTTGTTAGTCTGGCTAGCAGTCTATTTTTTTAATCTTTTCAAAAAACCAGCTCCTGGATACATTTTTTTTGAACCGTTTTTCCCGTCTCTATCTCCTTCAGTTCTGCCCTGATCTTAGTTATTTCTTGTCTTCTGCTAGCTTTTGAATTTGTTTGCCCTTGCTTCTCTAGGTCTTTTTATTGTGACGTTAGGGTGTTGATTTTAGATCTTTTCTGTTTTCTCCTGTGGGCATTTAGTTGTATAAATTTCCCTCTAAACACTGCTTTAGCTGTATCCCAGAGATTCTGGTATGTTGTGTCTTTGTTCTCATTGGTTTCAAATAACTTATTTATTTCTGCCTTATTTTCGTTATTTGCCCAGTACCCATTCAGGAGCAGGTCGTTCCATTTCCATGTAGTTATGTGGTTTTGAGTGATTTTTTTTTTTTTTTTTTTTTTTTTTGCGATGGAGTCTTGCTCTGTCACCCAGGCTGGAGTGCAGTGGCGCGATATTGGCTCACTGCAAGCTCCGCCTCCTGGGTTCATGCCATTCTCCTGCCTCAGCCTCCCTAGTAGAGTAGCTGGGACTACAGGCGCCCACCACCACACCTGGCTATTTTTTTTGTATTTTTAGTAGAGATGGGGTTTCACTGTGTTAGCCAGGATGGACATGATCGCCTGACCTTGTGATCTGCCTGCCTTGGCCTCCCAAAGTGCTGTTGAGTGATCTTCTTAATCCTGAGTTCTAATTTGATTGCATTGTGGTCTGGAGAGTCTGGTTTTTATGATTTCTATTGTTTTGCATTTGCTGAGGAGTGTTTTACTTCCAATTATGTGGTCAATTTTAGAATAAGTGCGATGTGGTGCTGAGAAGAATGTATATTGTTGATTTGGGGTGGAGAGTTCTGTACATGTCTATTAGTTCTGCTTGGTGCAGAGCTGAGTTCAAGTCCTGAATATCCTTGTTAATTTTCTGTCTCATGATCTGTCTAATACTGACAGTGGTGTGTTAAAGTCTCCCACTATTATTGTGTGGGAGTCTAGGTCTCTTTGTAGGTCTCTAAGAACTTGCTTTATGAATCTGGGTGCTTCTGTATTGGGAGCATATACATTTAGGATAGTTAACTCTTCTTGTTGCATTGATCCCTTTACCATTATGTAATGTCCCTCTTTGTCTATTTTGATCTTTGTTGGATTAAAGTCTGTTTTATCAGAGACGAGGATTGCAACCCCTGCTTTTTTTTTGCTTTCCATTTGCTTCATAAGTACCCCTCCATCCCTTTATTTTGAACCTATGTGTGTCTCTGCATGTGAGATGGGTCTCCTGAATACAGCACACCAATGGGTATTGACTCTTTATCCAATTTGCCCATCTGTGTCTTTCATTTGGGGCTTTTAGCACATTTACATTTAAGGTCAATATTGTTATGTGTGAATTTGATCCTGTCATCATGATGCTAGCTAGTTACTTTGCACATTACTTGATGCAGTTTCTTCATAGTGTCATTTGTCTTTATATTTTGGTATGTTTTTGCAGTGGCTGGTACCAGTTTTTCCTTTCTATATTTAGTGCTTCCTTTGGTATCTCTTGTCAGGCAGGCCTGGTGGTGACAAAATCCCTCAGCATTTGCTTGTCTGGAAAGGATATTATTTCTCTTTTGCTTGTGAAGCTTAGTTTGGCTGTATATGAAATTCTGGGTTGAAATTCTTTTCTTTAAGAATGTTGAATATTGGCCCCTACCCTCTTCTGCCTTGTAGGGTTTCTGCAGAGGCATCCATTGTAAGACTGATGGGCTTCCCTTTGTAGGTAACCTGACCTTTCTAACTGGCTGCCCTTAACATTTTTTCCTTCATTTCAACCTTGGTGAATCTGACGATTATATTTTGGGGTTGCACTTCTCAAGGAGTATCTTAGTGGTGTTCTCTGTATTTCCTGAATTTGAATGTTGACCTGTGATGTTCTCTGTATTTCCTGAATTTGAATATTGGCCTGTCTTTCTAGGTTTGGAACGTTCTCCTGGATGTCATCATGAAGTGTGTTTTCCAACTTGTTTCCATTCTCCCCCTCACTTTCAGGTACACCAATCAATCATAGGTTTGGTCTTTTCACATAGTCACATATTTCTTTGAGGCTTTGTTTGTTCCTTTTCATTACTTTTTTCTCTAATCTTGTCTTCACGCTTTATCTCATTAAGTTGATCTTCAATCTTTGATATCCTTTCTTTCGCTTGATCGATTCGGCTATTGATACTTGTGTATGCTTCACGAAGTTCTCGTACTGTATTTTTCAGCTACATCAGATCATTTATGTTCTTCTCTAAACTGGTTATTCTAGTTAGCAGTTCCTATAACTTTTTATCAAGGTTCCTAGCTTCCTTGCATTGGGTTAGAATATCCTACTTTAGCTGGAATCATTTGTTATTACCAACCTTCTCAAGCCTACTTCTGTCAATTCATCAAACTCATTCTCCATCCAGTTTTGTGCCCTTGCTGGCATGAGGTTGTGATACTTTGGAGGAGAAGAGGCATTCTGGCTTTTGGAATTTTCAGCATTTTTGCACTTTTTTTAAAAATTTTTTTATTTTATCAAAATGTAATTTAATCCAGGATTTTAAAAAACAATCTTCCTTATTTCACAGTTTATATTAGAGAATTTCTCTAACATGTGGTTCTGTTTTTCTTTTATTTTACATATACCATGTTTCTGAATTCCACGACCACTTATAAAATATAATGATAATTTTTTACTTTACTTAATTCTGTCTTTTTATGAGAAATAGTGTTTTATCTTTTTTTATTCTTTTTCTTTTTTTTTATATACTTAAAGTTTTAGGGTACATGTGCAGAACGTGCAGGTTAGATACATATGAATACATGTGCCATGTTGGTGTGCTGCACCCATTAACTCGTCATTTAACATTAGGTATATCTCCTAATGCTTTCTCTCCCCCCTCCCCCTACCCCACAACAGGCCCCGGTGTGTGATGTTCCCCTTCCTGTGTCCATGTGTTCTCATTGTTCAATTCCCACCTATGAGTGAGAATATGCGGTGTTTGATTTTTAGTCCTTGCGATAGTTTGCTGAGAATGATGGTTTCCAGCTTCATTCATGTCCCTACAAAGGACATGAACTCATCCTTTTTTATGGCTGCATAGTATTCCATGGTGTATATATACCACATTTTCTTAATCCAGTCTATCATTGTTGGACATTTGGGTTGGTTCCAAGTCTTTGCTATTGTGAATAGTGCCGCAATAAACATACGTGTGCATGTGTCTTTATAGCAACATGATTTATAATCCTTTGGGTATATACCCAGTAATGAGATGGCTGGGTCAAATGGTATTTCTAGTTCTAGATCCCTGAGGAATCGCCACACTGACTTCCACAATGGTTGAACTAGTTTACAGTCCCACCAACAGTGTAAAAGTGTTCCTGTTTCTCCACATCCTCTCTAGCACCTGTTGCTTCCGAACTTTTTAATGATCGCCATTCTAATTGGTGTGAGATGGTATCTCATTGTGGTTTTGATTTGCATTTCTCTGATGGCCAGTGATGATGAGCATTTTTTCATGTGTCTTTTGGCTGCATAAATGTCTTCTTTTGAGAAGTGTCTGTTCATATCCTTTGCCTACTTTTTGATGGGATTGTTTTTTCTTGTAAATTTGTTTGAGTTCATTGTAGATTCAGGATATTAGCCCTTCGTCAGATAAGTAGATTGGAAAAATTTTCTCCCATTCTGTAGGTTGCCTGTTCACTCTGATGGTAGTTTCTTTTGCTGTGAAGAAGCTCTTTGGTTTAATTAGATCCCAATGGTCAACTTTAGCTTCATTGCCATTGCTTTTGGTGTTTTAGACATGAAGTCTGTGCCCATGCCTATGTCCTGAATGGTATTGCCTAGGTTTTCTTCTAGGGTTTTTATGGTTTCAGGTCTACCATGTAAGTCTTTAATCCATATTGAATTAATTTTTGTATAAGGTGTAAGGAAGGGATCCAGTTTCAGCTTTCTACATATGGCTAGCCAGTTTTCCCAGCACCATTTATTAAATAGGGAATCCTTTCCCCATTGCTTGTTTTTTTCAGGTTTGTCAAAGATCAGATGGTTGTAGATATGCAGCATTATTTCTGAGGGTTCTGTTCTGTTCCATTGGTCTATATCTCTGTTTTGGTACCAGTACCATGCTGTTTTACTTGCGGTAGCCTTGTAGTATAGTTTGAAGTCAGGTAGCATGATGCCTCCAGCTTTGTTCTTTTGGCTTAGGACTGACTTGGCACTGTGGGCTCTTTTTTGGTTCCATATGAACTTTAAAGTAGTTTTCTCCAATTCTGTGAAGAAAGTCATTGGTAGCTTGATGGGGATGGCATTGAATCTATAAATTACCTTGGACAGTATGGCCATTTTCATGATATTGATTCTTCCTACCCATGAGCATGGAATGTTCTTCCATTTGTTTGTATCCTCTTTTATTTCATCGAGCAGTGGTTTGTAGTTCTCATTGAAGAGGTCCTTCACATCCCTTGTAAGTTGGATTCCTAGGTATTTTATTCTCTTTGAAGCAATTATGAATGGGAGTTCACTCGTGATTTGGCTCTGTTTGTTTGTTATTGGTGTATAAGAATGCTTGTGATTTTTGAGCATTGAGTTTGTATCCTGAGATTTTGCTGAAGTTGCCCATCAGCTTAAGGAGATTTTGGGCTGAGACGAAGGGGTTTTCTAGATATACAATCATGTCATCTGCAAACAGGGACAATTTGACTTCCTCTTTTCCTAATTGAATACCCTTTATTTCCTTCTCCTGCCTCATTGCCCTGGCCAGAACTTCCAACACTATGTTGAATAGGAGTGGTGAGAGAGGGCATCCGTGTCTTGTTCCAGTTTTCAAAGGGAATACTTCCAGTTTTTGCCCATTCAGTATGATATTGGCTGTGGGTTTGTCATAGATAGCTCTTATTATTTTGAGATACGTCCCATCAATACCTAATTTATTGAGAATTTTTAGCATGAAGTGTTGTTGAATTTTGTCAAAGGCCTTTTCTGCATCTATTGAGATAATCATGTGTTTTTTGTCTTTGGTTCTGTTTATATGCTGGATTACGTTTATTGATTTGTGTATGTTGAATCAGCCTTGCATCCCAGGGATGAAGCCCACTTGATCATGGTGGATAAGCTTTTTGATGTGCTGCTGGATTCGGTTTGCCAGTATTTTGCTGAGGACTTTTGCATCGATGTTCATCAGGGATATTGGTCTAAATTTCTCTTTTTTTGTTGTGTCTCTGCCAGGCTTTGGTATCAGGATGATGCTGGCCTCATAAAATGAGTTAGGGAGGATTCCCTCTTTTTCTATTGATTGGAATAGTTTCAGAAGGAATGGTACCAGTTCCTCCTTGTACCTCTGGTAGAATTCGGCTGTGAATCCATCTGGTCCTGGACTTTTTTTGGTTGGTAAGCTATTAATTATTGCCTCAATTTCAGAGCCTGTTATTGGTCTATTCAGGGATTGAACTTCTTCCTGGTTTAGTCTTTGGAGGGTGTATGTGTCAAGGAATTCATCCATTTCTTCTAGATTTTCTAGTTTATTTGCATAGAGGTGTTTATAGTATTCTTTCATGGTAGTTTGTATTTCTGTGGGATCGGTGGTGATATCCCCTTTATTACTTTTTATTGCATCTAATTGATTCTTCTCTCTTTTCTTCTTTATTAGTCTTGCTAGTGGTCTATCAATTTTGTTGATCTTTTCAAAAAACCAGCTCCTGGATTCATTAATTTTTTGAAGGGTTGTTTTTGTCTCTATTTCCTTCAGTTCTGCTCTGATTTTAGTTATTTCTTGCCTTCTGCTAGCTTTTGAAAGTGTTTGCTCTGCCTTTTCTAGTTCTTTTAATTGTGATGTTAGGGTGTCAATTTTAGATCTTTCCTGCTTTCTCTTGTGGGCATTTAGTGCTATAAATTTCCCTCTACACACTGCTTTGAATGCGTCCCAGAGATTCTGGTATGTTGTGTCTTTGTTCTCCTTGGTTTCAAAGGACATCTTTATTTCTGCCTTCATTTCGTTATGTGCCCAGTAGTCATTCAGGAGCAGGTTGTTCAGTTTCCGTGTAGTTGAGTGGTTTTGAGTGAGTTTCTTAATCCTGACTTCTAGTTTGATTGCACTGTGGTCTGAGAGACAGTTTGTTATAAATTCTGTTCTTTTACATTTGCTGAGGAGTGCTTTACTTCCAAGTATGTGGTCAATTTTGGAATAGGTGTGGTGTGGTGCTGAAAAGAATGTATATTCTGTTGATTTGGGGTGGAGAGTTCTGTAGATGTCTGTTAGGTCTGCTTGGTGCTGAGCTGAGTTCAATTCCTGGATATCCTTGTTAACTTTCTGTCTTATTGATCTGTCTAATGTTGACAGTGTGGTGTTAAAATCTCCCATTATTATTGTGTGGGAGTCTAAGTCTCTTTCTAGGTCTCTAAGGACTTGCTTTATGAATCTGGGTGCTCCTGTATTGGGTGCATATATATTTAGGATTGTCAGCTCTTCTTGTTGAATTGATCCCTTTACCATTATGTAATGGCCTTCTTTGTCTCTTTTGATCTTTGTTGGTTTAAAGTCTGTTTTGTCAGAGAGTAGGATTGCAACCCCTGCCATTTTTTGTTTTCCATTTGCTTGGTAGATCTTCCTCCATCCCTTTATTTTGAGCCTATATGTGTCTCTGCACGTGAGATGGGTTTTCTGAATACAGCACACTGATGGGTCTTGACTCTTTATGCAATTTGCCAGTCTGTGTCTTTTAATTGGAGCATTTAGCCCATTTACATTTAAGGTTAATATTGTTATGTGTGAATTTGATCCTGTCATTATGATGTTAGCTGCTTATTTTGCTCGTTAGTTGATGCAGTTTCTTCCTAGCTTTGACGGTCTTTACAATTTGGCATGTTTTTTCAGTTGCTGATACCGGTCGTTCCTTTCCATGTTTAGTGCTTCCATCAGGAGCTCTTTTAGGGCAGGCCTGGTGGTGATAAAATCTCTCAGCATTTGCTTGTCTGTAAAGTATTTTATTTCTCCTTCACTTATGAGGCTTAGTTTGGCTGATATGAAATTCTGGGTTGAAAATTCTTTTCTTTAAGAATGTTGAATATTGGCCCCCACTCTCTTCTGGCTTGTAGATTTTCTGCCTAGAGATCAGCTGGCAGGCTGATGGGCTTCCCTTTGAGGGTAACCCGACCTTTCTCTCTGGCTGCCCTTAACATTTTTTCCTTCATTTCAACTTTGGTGAATGTGACAATTATGTGTCTTGGAGTTGCTCTTCTCGAGGAGTATCTTTTTGGCGTTCTCTTTATTTCGTGAATTTGAATGTTGGCCTGCCTTGCTAGATTGGGGAAGTTCTCCCGGAGAATATCCTGCAGTGTTTTCCAACTGGGTTGTATTCTCCCTGTCACTTTCAGGTGCACCAATGAGACATAGATTTGGTCTTTTCACATAGTCCTATATTTCTTGGAGGCTTTGTTCGTTTCTTTTTATTCTTTTTTCTGTAAACTTCTCTTCTCACTTCATTTCATTAATTTGATCTTCCATCACTGATACCCTTTCTTCCAGTTGATCGAGTCGGCTCTTGCGGCTTGTGCATTCTTCACGTAGTTCTCTTGCCTTGGTTTTCATCTCCATCTGGTTCTTTAAGGACTTCTCTGCATTGGTTATTCTAGTTAGCCATTCGTCTAATTTTTTTTCAATTTTTTTTAACTTCTTTGCCATGGGTTCAAACTTCCTCCTTTAGCTCAGAGTAGTTTGATCGTGTGAAGCCTTCGTCTCTCAACTCGTCAAAGTCATTCTCCATCCAGCTTTGTTCCGTTGCTGGTGAGGAGCTGTGTTGCTTTGGAGGAGGAGAAGCACTCTGATTTTTAGAGTTTCCAGTTTTTGTGCTCTGTTTTTCCCCCATATTTGTGGTTTTATCTACCTTTGGTCTTTGATGATGGTGATGTACAGATGGGGTTTTGGTGTGGATGTCCTCTCTGTTTGTTAGTTTTCCTTCTAACAGTCAGGACCCTCAGCTGCAGGTCTGTTGGAGTTTGCTGGAGGTCCCCTCCAGACCCTGTTTGCCTGGGTATCAGGAGTGGAGGCTGCAGAACAGCAGATACTGGTGGGCAGGAAATGTTGCTGCCTGATCGTTCCTCTGGAAGTTTTGTCTCAGAGGAATACCCGGCCCTGTGAGATGTCAGTCTGCCCCTACTGGAGGGTGCCTCCTAGTTAGGCTACTTGGGGGTCAGGGACCCTCTTGAGGAGGCAGTCTGTCCGTTCTCAGATCTCCAGCTGCATGCTGGGAGAACCACTACTCTCTTCAAAGCTGTCAGACAGGGACATTTAAGTCTGCAGAGGATTCTGCTGCCTTTTGTTTCACTATTCCCTTCTCCTAGAGGTGGAGTCTACAGAGGCAGGCAGGCCTCCTTGAGCTGTGGTGGGCTCCACCCAGTTCGAGCTTCCCAGCTGCTTTGTTTACCCACTGAAGCCTCCGCAATGGCGCGCACCCCTCCCTCGCTGCCACCTTGCAGTTTGATCTCAGACTGCTGTGCTAGCAGTGAGCAAGGCTTTGTGCGCATAAGACCGTCTGAGCCATGCGAGGGATATAATCTCCTGGTGTGCTGTTTGCTAAGACCATTGGAAAAGTGCAGTATTGGGTGGGAGTGACCCGATTTTCCAGGTGCCATCTGTCACCCCTTTCTTTGACTAGGAAAGGGATTTCCCTGACCCTTTGCGTTTCCCGGTTGAAGCGATGCCTCGCCCTGCTTCGGCTCACACACGGTGCGCTGCACCCACTGTCCTGCACCCACTTTCCAACACTCCCCTGTGAGATGAGCCCAGTACCTCAGTTGGAAATGCAGAAATCACCCATCTTCTATGTCGCTCACTCTGGGAGCTCTAGACTGGAGCTGTTCCTATTTTGCCATCTTGGCTCCACCCCCCATGCTGTTTTTTTCTCATCTTGTTCCATTTATTTACCTTTGATCTTTGATACTGATGACCTTCGGATGAGGTTTTTGCATGGTTGTCCTTTTTGTTTATGTTGATGCTATCCCTTTCTGTTTGTTAGTTTTCCTTCTAACAGTCAGGTCCCTCTTCTGTAGGTCTGCTGCAGTTTGCTGGACATCCACTCCAGACCCTGTTTTCCTGTGTGTCACCAGCAGAGCCTGCAGAACAGCAAAGATTGTTGCCTCCTTTTTTTTTCTGGAAGCTTTGTCCCACTGGGGCATCTGCCAGATGCCAGTCAGAGTGCTCCTGTGTGAGGTGTCTGTAGACCCCTTTTGGGAGTTATCTCCCAGTCAGGAGGCATGGGGGTCAGGGGCCCACTTGAGGGGCAGTCTATCCCTTAGCAGAGCTCAAGCACTGTGCTGGGAGATCTGCTGTTCTCTTCAGAGCTGGCAAGCAGGAACATTTTGTCTGCCGAAGGTGTGCCAACAGCTGCTCCTTCCCTCAGGTGTTCTGTCCCAGGGAGATGGGAATTTTATCTATAAGCCCCTGACTGGGGCTGCTGCCTTTCTTTTAGGCATGCTCTGCCCAGTTAGGAGGAATCTAGAGAGGCAGTCTGGCCGCAGTGGTTTTGCCGTGCTGTGGTGGCTTCCACCAATTCCGAACTTCCTGGCAGCTTCGTTTACACTGTGAGGGAAAACAGCCTATTCAAGCCTCAGTAATGATAAACGCCCCTCCCCTCACCAAGCTCAAGCGTTCCAGGTTGAGTTCAGATTGCTGTGCTGGCAGTGACAATTTCAAGTCTGTGGGTTTTAGCTTGCTGGGCTCCATGGGGGTGGGACCCACTAAGCAAGACCACTTGCCTCCCTGGCTTCAGCCCCCTTTCCAGGGGAGTGAATGGTTCTGTCTCGCTGGGGTTCCAGGTGCCACTGGGGTATACAAGAAAACTCCTGCAGCTAGCTCGGTGTCTGCCCAAACAGCTGTCCAGCTTTGTGCTTGAAACCCAGGGCCCTGGTGGTGTGGGCACACGAGGGAATCTCCTTGTTTGTGGGTTGCAGAAACCGTGGGAAAAGTGTAGTATTTGGGCCAGATAGCACAATACCTCACAGCTTCCCTTGAGGGAAGGTTCCTGACCCCTTGCACTTCATGGGTGAGGCAACACTCCACACTGTTTCTGCTTGCCCCCCATGGGCTGCACCCACTGTCTGAACAGTCCCAATGAGATGAAGTGGATACCTCAGTTGGAAATGCAGAAATCACCCACCTGTGTTGGACTGGCTGGGAGCTGCAGACCAGAGCTGTTCCTATTCAGCCATCTTGCTAGATCTCAAAATGTCTTTCTTATTTACCTACATATTTACCACTTTTGGTGTTTTCTGTTTGTGTAGATTTAGATTTCCATTAGGTATTATTTTTCTTATACCTGAAGGACTTCCTATTTCTTGTAGTGCACATCTCCCAGTAATGAATTATTTCAGCTTTTGTGTGTCTGAAAAGTTGCAAAAGTTCACCTATACTTTTGAAAGACATTTCACTGTTATAGAATCCTAGGTTGGCAGCATTTTTCTTTTAGTACTTTAAAAATGTTTCTTCACTGTCTTTGTTGGATTTCTTTGATGATAAATCTGCTGTTATTCTTCCATTTATATTTAATATAATTACTGCCTAGGTAGGATTTACATCTGCCATTTTGCTGTTTTCTATATATCTTGTATTTCTATTACTGCCTTCTTTTATGTTACTTAGATTATTTTCTGTTGTACCTGTTTTGGTGATCCCCAAGACCAACTCTAGGACTCATAGTACCCAGAAGTCATTATATTCATGGTTATAGCTTATTACAGCAAAAAGATGCAAGGCAGTATCAGCACAGGGAATAGGCACATGTGGCACAGTCTGGAGGAAACCAGGCAGGTGCAAGCTTCCAAGAGTCCTTTTCCAGTGGAATTGTACAGGATTCACTTAATTCCTCTATCTACAATTTATAGGAACACATGTGAAGTGTGGTCTACCTGAGAGCTCATTTGAGCCTAAGATTCAAGTTTTTTTAGTGGGGTTTGGTCACATAGGCACACAGTGCCTGCATGGTTGATTGCAGTTACCAAAACAGACCACTAGAAAGAAAGCAGGTGTTCCCCATAAGTCACATTATTTCACAGACTATGTTTTTTTTTTTAATTTTTTTATTTAAATATATTTTGGTGTACAAGTCATTGTTGATTACATAGATAAATTGTATAGTGTTGAAGTCTGAGATTTTAGTAAACCCATCATTCGAGTAGTGTACATTGTACTGAATACGTAGTTTTTTTAATCCCTTACTCCCCTTCCACCCTACCCCTTCTCAGTCTCCAAAGTCCATTATTCCAGTGTGTATGCCTTTGCATACCCATAGCTTAGCTCCCACTTATAACTGAGAACATACAGTTTTGGTTTTCTATTCCTGAGTTATTTCACTTAGAATAATGGCCTCTGGCTCCATTCAAGTTGCTGCAACAGACATTATTTCATTCTTTTTTATGGCTGAGTAGTATTCCATGGTGTTGTATATGTACCACATTTTTTTTTGAGACAGGGTCTCACTCTGTTGTGCAGGCTGGAATGCAGTGGCATGATCAGGCCTCACTGCAGCCGCTATCCCCCATAAAGTGATCATCTCAGCCCCTGGAGTAGCATGCACCTCACACCTGGCTAATTTTTTTTTTTATTTTTTTTGGAATTTTAGTAGAGATGAGGTCTTGCTATGTTGCCTAGGCTAGTCTTGAACTCCTGGACTCAAGTGATCCTCCCACCTTGGCCTTCAAAAGTGCTGGGATTACAGACATGAGCCACTGCACCTAGCCTACTACATTTTCTTGATCTACTCATTAGTGGATGGACATTTAGGTTGGTTCCATAGTTTTGCAATTGTGAATTTTGCTACAATAAACATATACATACAAGTGTATTTTTGATATAATTACTTCTTTTTCTTTGGGTAGATATGCAGTAGTGGGATCACTTCATTGAATGGTAGATCTACTACTTTTAGTTCTTTAAGAATTATCCATACTATTTTCCATACAGGTTGTACTAATTTACATTGTCACCAACAGTGTTTAAGCATTCCCTCTTCACCACATCCACATCAACATCTCTTATTTTTTAACTTTTTAATAATGGCCTTTCTTGTAGGGGTAAGGTGGTATCAGATTGTGGTTTTAATTTGCATTTTCCTGATGATTAGTGATGTTGAGTATTTTTTCATGTTTTTTGGCCATTTGTATTTTGTATATCTTCTTTTGAGAAATGTCTGTTCATGTCATTTGCCCACTTATTGATGGGACTTTTTTTTTTTGCTGATTTGTTTGAGTTCCTTGTATATTCTAGATATTGGACCTTTGTTGGATGCATAGTTTGCAAATATTTTCTTTCATTTTATTCATTATCTGTTTACTGTGATTATTACTTTTGCTGTGCAGAAACTTTTTAGTTTAATTAGGTCCCATTTATTTATTTTTGTTTTTGTTGCATTTGCTTTTGAGGTCATATTTGTTGGGAACAGGCCCCAAAATCTGGCTATGAACTGGCGCCAAAACTGGCCATAAACAAAATCTCTGTAGCACTGTGACATGCTCATGGTGACCTTGACACCCACGCTAGAAGGTTGTTGGTTTACCGGAATGAGGGCAAGGAACACCTGGCCCACCCAGGGCAGAAAACCACTTAAGGCATTCTTAAACCACAAACAATAGCATGAGCTATCTGTGCCTTAAGGACATGTTCATGCTGCAGATAACTAGCCAGAGCCCATCCCTTTACCTCGGCCCATCCCTTTATTTCCCATAAGGAATACTTTTAGTTAACTTATAATCTATAGAAACAATGCTTATCACTGGCTTGCTGTCAATAAATATGTTGGTAAATCTCTGTTCAAGGCTCTGAGCTCTGAAGGCTGTGAGACCCCTGATTTCCCACTCCACAATCTATATTTCTGTATGTGTGTCTTTAATTCCTTTAGTGCCGCTGGGTTAGGGTCTCCCTGACCGAGCTGGTCTTGGCAAGTGGTGCCCATACATGGGGCTTGAACCCAGGTCGAAGGGTTGCCAGAGCGACAGTTGGAGAATGTGGAACTAAGCTGGAGGACACATGAGTACTCTTAAAGCAATCCCCGCGGTGAGTAAGAAAGTGAGCTTGGAAGCATCAAGGTAACAATGGGACAAGTGTGAGCTCTGGTTCTTTCCACCTTGGAACCTTTTCACACTAATGATGAGGAAGAAGGAAAGTGTAATGAGTAACAGAAGATGTGACAGAGCAGGTTTGTTTGCCAGCTAAAGCTATAGCGGCAAAGGAGGGAGAGGTTCATCCCTACCCTTCTGTACCCCCTCCTTATTTTGAAGAAAAAGAGTGGCCTGGCCCTCCAGATCTTTCTTTTCCAGAGGATACTGGGTGAAAAGTAGTTGCCCCAGTGACTGTTCGAGCAGAGCCTCAAGCGACCGCTCTCAGTTCTATTCAGGCAGGAATTCAGCGAGCTAGATGAGAGGGTGATTTAGAGGCTTGGCAGTTCCCTGTTAGAATACACCCCCCAGATCAACAGAGAAATATTATAGCTACATTTGAGCCTCTTCCTTTTAAATTTGGGAAACCCATGAGGGGCCCGTCCCTGGCCCCGTTCCAAACCGAGGCATTTCTGGCTCAGGCCATTCCCTCACGTCTGTACAATGTCTGTCCCCCACCACAGCCAGTAGTGCTGCAGTAGATTTTTGCTGCACAAAAACTGTGAGCCTTCTGCCTGGGGAACTCCCACAAAAAGTTCCAACAGGGGTCTGTGGACCCTTGCTAGCGGGGACGATAAGATTACTTTTAGGAAGGTCTAGTTTAAATTTAAAAGGGGTACAAATACAAACAGGAGTCATTGATTCAGATTACAATGGGGAAATTCAAATTGTTATATCTACTTCTGTTCCCTGTAAAGCAGAGCCAGGAGAGCGTATAGCACAGCTCCTGATTGTGCCGTATATGGAAACGGGGAAAAGTGAAATTAAACTAACAGGAGGATTTGGAAGCACAACTAAACAAGGCAAAGCAGCTTACTGGGTGAATCAAATTACTGATAAACATCCTACCTGTGAAATAACTATTCAGGGAAAGAAATTTAAAGGTTTTGTAGATACAGGAGCGGACATTTCAATTATTTCTCTACAGCACTGGCCATCCACTTGGCCAGTTCAACCCACTCAATTTAACATAGTTGGAGTTGGTAAAGCCCCTGAAGTATATCCAAGTAGTTATATTTTGCCTTGTGAAGGGCCTGATGAACAACCTGGGACTATTCAACCAATTATAACTTCTATACCTATAAATTTATAGGGAAGTGATTTATTGCAATGCTCAGTTATGATTTCATACAGTTGAACAACTGATGACAAAAACAAAAAAGAGGGAGAAACAGGGATTACAGGACAGCCCATATGTAATTGAATCTAACATTATTATCTTTAAACTTTTTTTTTTTTTTTTTTTTTTTTTAACTCATCCATGTTTCTGTTTATATACAGGATAACAAATTCAGGAACAATGGGAAAGTAATATATGAAACCTTAATAGGAAATACAATAGAGATTACAAAACACTACCATTTGATTTTTTATGCAAATACTTCAATCTTCCAATATTTTTACTCACTTGCTAAATAAAGCACATGACTCGAAATCCTAAATAATTCTGTTAGTCTAAATCTTTTAAAGAATAAAATGTTGGTGAAAAACCAAAATTGTTTAGTAAGGTATGTATGACCTTGTTTATTATCTATCACAGACATGAAGATGATCATAGTTAATACCAATTTAAGCTTTACAGAATACTGTTTTAGGCCCAATATTGATATGTTAAATGAAGGTATCAGAGAATCTTGTATTTATGGCATCAGGTTATAAAGATCTATTCAAAACCATTTTTGTCAAAGTTTAAACACTGGAGCAAAAGTCAAATTGTTTCTAAATGAGACACAAAATGATTCTTGCTAATAATACAAATTTTGTCCCATGGGTAATACTATTGTCTTTTTCTTTTTTAAAAAAATTTTTGATTTTTATTTTAGATTCAGGGAACACATGGGCAGGTCTGTTAGCTGGGTATACTGTGTGATGTTGAGGTTTGGGGTATGGATGATCCTGTCACCCAGGTAGTGAGCAGAGTCCCCAGTAGGTAGTTTTTCAGCTCTTGCTCCCGCTCCCCAACCTACCTCCCCAGTGTCTATTATTCCCATGGGTCCTCAGGTATTACTATTTTCAAATTTTTTTCTTTACATGAAACTACTGAAAGCAAAAGTATGTCATGCTTATAGGTCACTCTGTACATTTATCATTCTATTAATAAACATCTTAAATAATTATGTAGTATATTAAGGCCATAAACCAAATCATTATCTCCTATCAAAGGACTACTGTTATTCAATCATCTAGAAAATTCATTTTAGGCAGGACTCAGTGGCTCACGTCTGTAATCTCAGCACTTTGGGAGGCTGAGGTGGGTGGATCATGAAGTCAGGAGTTCGAGACCATCCTGACCAGCATGGTGAAACCCCGCCTCTACTAAAAATACAAAAATTAGCTGGGCGTGGTGGTGTGTGCCTGTAATCCCAGCTACTCAGGAGGCTGAGGCAGGAGAATCACTTGAACCCGGGAGGCAGAGGTTGCAGTGAGCTGAAATTGCGCCATTGCACTCCAGCCTGGGCGACAGAGAGAAACTCTGTCTTAAAAAAAAAATTCATTTTAATGGGTTATGTTACAGGGTTGAGGTCAGCCTACAGACACAAAATAGGTTAACTGAAAATTTTTTTTTTTGTATCAGGTTTTAATTTTTTCATTGAAACAGGATTTGGTGGTGGGGATACTAAATGTGGCAGGGTTCAACAAATTTACATTTTATCAAAATAAAGTTCTTAAAGAATACAATGATAGCATATGCTTTAACTCTTATAGCACAAACCCACATATTAATTGATGGTCACAGAAAAATACTGTAATGGTTTAAACAAAAGTTTTAAAATACATCAATGACACAAGTTTCAAACAAAATGCAGTGATCAAAATACTTAACTGTCCTTTCATCAAGCTTTTACAAACACAATCAGTCTTCACTGTCTGAGCAAATCAGTTTTAGTTTCTTCATGGTCCTCCATCTGTCTTTTAATATGACACTTGTCCGGTTGTTGAATTTATAATGCAATAGTATTTTAGACCAGTTTCCCTCTCCATGTTTCCTCACGCCAGATCTCAAATTCTTGTCTTCTTCCCAAAGCCATGCTTGTTTTTTTTTAGCTTGATGTTTTTCAGGAGTTACCAGTTGACTCTTTGAAATAGGTATTCTGCTTTCAGTGGCTCTTCTGCTTTCTTTTTTCTTTTTTGTACTTTGAAGAGTTCCTACTCTCCTTTCTTTCTTATTAAGGTCTTGTTGCTGGGTTCCATGTTGCAACTTAGATAAGAAAAGATTCTTGTGAGACCTTTTTCTTGTATCCAAATTAGCTTCAGTTTCCATTTCAACATCATTACCATTAGGTTTATCTTGAGAAATTATTGTTCTTGTTCTTTTACTTTCTACTACTTTTGCTGCTGCCTTCATTAGAAAGGTTGATGATTTTTCACTTAGCACATAATTCACATAACTCTTAATTTTCTCCATCATGTGATTGTAGCTGAAGTGTTGAAAAAAGGAATGAAATGTATCTTTCTGAGAGATTATCATAAGCAATTTGCTTTTGAGAGGCATATAAGAATTTGGATCACCAAATATTCTTTCAAAGACTTCTTCTGCTTCTGTAAAGTTGTCATTTTCCATACAAACAGCTATAGCCTGAATTTTAATTAAATTCTATATTTCTTCATGAAGTTTGTCATGTTCCTTTTCAATTGAACCCCAAATCATCAGGGCTGATTCCAAGGGTGTAATTCGTTCATCATTTTCAAACTGTACATCAAGGGTTTTTCCTGCTGCAATGCTTGTCAAAAACTGACATATGCATATTGTTCTCAACTGGTAAGCTGTTAGACTGGATAGTCCATGAATAATAGCCTCTGCGCTGTTGCGGGTCCGGCAGAAGTCCTCAGGGCGGCCGTCGCGGAAAGCTCAGCAAAGAGAGAGGCAGAGGAAATCGAGCATCCAGCCAGCAGCCACAGCCTCGGCCTCAGCCACCAGGCCCGGGTCCTCCTCCTCCTCCTCGGGGGCTCCCACCTGCACCCAGCACTCGAGCAGTTCCTGGCACTCGAACTGCTCCTCGTCGTTTCTCTCTGTTTCTGCCATCTGCTCCTCAGTAGGGTTGGCATCCCTACCATCTGCACAGCCCCAAGGGCTCGGGGCCCAGCTTTAAATTTTTTGAGCCTTCCTAAAAGCCAGATGTTATCAGCAGCTGAACAGCATCTACAGAAACCAGCTGCAAAGACAGAAGCAGAACAACTGGTTTGGTGGAAATATCCAATACCAAAAAGTTGAGAAATCGGTAAAATAATAACTTGGGGTAGAGGTTATGCTTGTGTTTCTCCAGGCCAAAATCAACACTGATTTGGATACCCTCAGGACACCTGAAACCTTATCATGAACCAGATGCTGAGGAAGAGATTCTGGGAGGATCCCGAGTACCCCCCAGTTGCAGTCATGTCAAGACTGATGCTCAGGAGGATCCCAACTGTCATGAGCAACACCCATCGAACACAGCCATCCACCTGGGAACAGATCAAGAAGCTGTCACAGATGGTGGGAGAAAACCTGAGGAAAGCGGGACAACCAGTCACAATGAGTAATTTAATGGTAGCTATGATAGCAGTGATCACCATTGCCGTGAGTATTCCTTCAACAAGGGCTGACACAGAGATCAGTTATACTTATTGGGCATATTTGTCAATTTTGGCTGGCAATAATGCCTGGATATAATCACTTTATGACACAGTTACACATGCTTTCTGGTCTCAATATTTACCATAATAAGTCTGCTTCTATAATTGAGGCATACCACCCTCAAAAATCTATTTGTAAACAAAATTGAACCTGGCCAGAAAAAATGAATGTACTTTTTTAGGAAGGTTGCATTGCAGAACAGGCAGAGGTGCTGCACAACGAATCCTATGGAATCATTATTGATTGGTCCCCTAAGGGGATGTTTAGCTTGAATTGCACCTCTTAGTCTGCATGTCACAGCCACACTGTGTTCAACTGGTCTGAACAGAATGGTCAGATGGTACAAATGGTAAGACGTATGGCAAGAGTTCCTATTATCTGGAACCATGGCAGTATAGGGGCACCTCAACCTCAAATGATATGGCCCATTGTAGGAGCTAAACATAAGGATTTGTGGCAACTGTTAATAGCTCTTAATAAGATCAAAATTTGGGAAAGAATAAAAAAGCATCTAGAAGGACACTCTGCAAACTTGTCTTTGGATATTGCAAAATATATATATATATTTAAAGCATCCCAGGCACACCTGACCTTAATGCCAGAACTGGAGTGCTCGAAGGAGCTGCAGACAGATTAGCAGCTAGTAACCCATTAAAATGGATAAAAACACTTAGAAGCTCTGTGATTTCAATGATGATTGTGCTTTTAATCTGTGTTGTTTGTCTTTATATAGTCTGCAGATGCTGATCTTGACTCCTGTGAGAAGTAGCTCACCGTGACAAAGCTGCCTTTGCTTTTATCGCTTTGCAAAACAAAGAAGGGGGACAAGTTGGGAACAGGCCCCAAAATCTGGCCATAAACTGGCCCCTAAACTGGTCATAAACAAAATCTCTGCAGCACTGTCACATGCTTGTGATAGCCTGACGCCCACGCTGGAAGGCTGTCGGTTTACCGGAATGAGGGCAAGGAACAGCTGGCCCACCCAGGGCGGAAAACCACTTAAGGCATTCTTAAACCACAAACAATAGCATGAGCTATCTGTGCCTTAAGGACATGTTCATGCTGCAGATAACTAGCCAGAGCCCATCCCTTTACCTCGGCCCATCCCTTTATTTCCCATAAGGAATACTTATAGTTAATCTATAGAAACAATGCTTATCACTGGCTTGCTGTCAATAAATATGTGGGTAAATCTCTGTTCAAGGCTCTCAGCTCTGAAGGCTGTGAGACCCCTGATTTCCCACTCCACAATCTGTATTTCTGTGTGTGTGTCTTTAATTCCTGTAGCGCCGCTGGGTTAGGGTCTCCCCGACCGAGCTGGTCTCGGCACATATTCATAAATTATTTGCCTGGGCCAATGTCCAGAAGAATTTTTCATAGTTTTTCTACTAGAATTTTAATGTTTTCATGTCTTAAATTTAAGTATTTGATCCATCTTGAGTTGATTTTTATAAAAGGTGAGATATAGGGATCCAGTGTCATTCTTCTACATGTGGATATCCAGTTTACCCAGCATGATTTATTAAATAGAGTGTCTTTTTCTCAATTTATATTTTTGTATGCTTTGTTGGAGATCAGTAGGTTGTAGGTGTTAGGCTTTATTTCTGGGTTCTCTATTCTATTCCATTTGTGTATCTACTTTTATGCCAGTACTGTGATGTCTTGGTAACTGTAGTCTTGTAGTATAATTTGAAGTCAGGTAATGTTATGGCTCCAGATTGGCTATTTTTGCTTAGGACTGCTTTGGCTGTTTGTACTCTTGTGGTTCCCTATGAATTTTAGGATTAACTTTTTAAATCTCTAAAAAATAATGTTGGTATTTTGATAAGAATTACATCGAATCTGTAGATTGCTTTGAGCTGTATTCTCATTTCCGCTATATTGATTCTTTCAATCCATGAGCATGGGATGTGTTTTCATTTGTGTCCTCTACGATTTCTTTTAGTACTTTTGTAGTTGTCATTGTAGAGCTCTTTTACCCCATTGGTTAAGTATATTCCTAGGTGTTTTTTTTTTTTTTTTTTTTTTTTTTTTTTTTTTGTAGCTATTGTAACAGGGATTGAGTCCCTGATTTCCTTCTCAGCTTGGTCATTGGTTATAGCAGGGCTACTGATTTGTGTATACTGATTTTGTAACTTGAGACTACTGAATTCATTTATCAAATATAGTTGTCTTTTGGAGGAGTCTTTAGGGATTTCTACATATAAAATCCTATCATTGGCAAACAGGAATATTTTCACTCCTTCTTTTCCAATTTGAATAACCTTTATTTCTTTCTCTTGCCTGATTGCTCTGGCTATGACTTCCAGTACTATGTTAAATAGAAGTAGTGAAAGTGGCCATCATTGACTTGTTCCAGTTCTCAGCGGGAATGCTTTCAACTTTTCCTGATTTACTATGATAAAGTCTGTGGGTTTGTCATATATGGCTTTTATAATTTTGAGGTATGTCCCTTCTATACTTAGTTTGTTAAGGATTTTTATATTAAAGTTATGCTGGAATTTATTGAATGCTTTCTCTGAATCTATTAAGATGATCATATGGTTTTTGTTTTAATTCTGTTTATGTGATGTATCACATTTATTGACTGACTTGTGTTAAACCATTCCTGCATCCCTAGGATGAAACCCACTTTACCATAGCGTATTATCTTTTTTGAGGTGCTGTTGGATTCAGTTTGCTAGTATTTTTGTGAGGTTGTTTGCATCTGTGTCCATCAGGGATATTGGTCTGTCATTTTTTTTGTTGTTTTTATGTTCTTTACTGGTTTTTGTATCAGGGTGATACTGGTTTCATCAAATGAGTTAGGGAAGTTTCCCTGTTAATCTTTTGTAATAGTTTCAGTAGGATTGGTACCAATTCTTCTTTGAATGTCTGGTATAATTCAGCTGTGAATCATCTGGAACTGGGCTTTATTTTTGGCAATTTTTAACTTACTGATTCAGTCTCGCTGCTTGTTAATGGTCGTTCAGGGTATATATTTCTTCCTGATTTAATCTAGGAAGGCCATATGTTTCAAGGAATTTATTCATTTCCTCTAGATTTTCTAGTTTGTGTGCATAGAGGTGTTCACAGTAGTTTCAAATGATCTTTTGTATTTCTTTGGTGTCAGTTTTAATGTCTCCATTTTCATTTCTAATTGAGCTTATTTGAATCTTCTCTCTTCTTTTCTTGGTTAATCTACCTAATGCTCTATCAACTTTTTTAATCTTTCCAAATAATCAAGTTTTCGTTTTGTTGATCTTTTTGATTTCATTTTATTTTTGTTTCAGTGTCATTAGTTGTGTTCTGATCTTTGTTATTTCTTTTCTTCTGCTGGCTTTTAGTTTGGTTCATTATTGTTTTTCTAGTTCCTTGAGGTGTGACCTTAGGTTGTCAATTTGTGATGTTTCAGATTTTTTGATGTAGGCATTTAGTACTATAGACTTTCCTTTTAGCACTGCTTTTGCTGTAACTCAGGGATTTTGATAACCTGTGTCATTATTATTAATCATTTTAAATAATGTTTAAATTTCCATCTTGATTCCATTGTTAACCCAAAAGTCAGTCAGGAGCAGATTGTTTAATTTTCATGTATTTGTATAGTTTTGAGGGTTCCTTTCAGAGTGGATTGCTAGTTTTATTCCACTGTGTTCTGAAAAGTTACTGGGTATGATTTCAATTTATTAAAATGTTTTGAGACTTGTGGCCTATTATATGCTCTATTTTGGACAATGTTTTATGTGCTGATGAAAAGAAAGTATATTCTGTTGTTCTTGGGTAGAAGTTCTGTAAATATCTGTTAGGTCCATTTGTTCTGGAGTGCAGCTTAAATTCAGTGTTTCTTTGTTGACTTTCTGCCTTGAGGATCTGTCCAGTGCTGTCAGTGGAGTGCTGAAGTTCCCCACTATTATTGTGTTGCTGTCTATGTTTTTTCTTAGGACTAGTAGTAATTGTTTTATGAATCTAGGATCTCCAGAGTTAGGTGCATGTATATTTAGGATTGTAATTTTTTTTTGTGGGATTGATCCTTTTATCATTTCATCATGACTTTCTTTGTATTTTTTTATTGTTGTTGCTTTAAAGTTTGTTTTATCTGATACAAGAATAGATACTCCTGCTCTCTTTTGGTTTCCATTTGCATTTAGTATATATTCTATCCCTTGTACCTTGAGTCTATATGAGTCCTTACATATTAGGCGAGTCTCTTGAAGATAGCATACATTTGGTTTGTGATTTTTAAACTCTATTCTGCCAATCTGTTATCTTTTAAGTGGAGCATTTAGGCCATTTATATTCAAGGTTAATGTTGGAGTGTGAGGTGCTGTTCTATTCATCATATTAGTTGATACCTATACTTTGTTTTCTTCATTGTGTTATTGTTTCATAGGCCCTCTGAGTTTTATGCTTTCAAGAGGTTCTATTCTGTTGGATATTGATCTTTTGTTTCAAGATTTAGAACTAATTTTAGCATTTCTTGTAGAGCTGGTCTGGTAGTGATAAATTCTCTCAGCATTTGTCAGAAAAAGACTATTTATCTTCCGTGTATGAAACTTAGTTTTGCTGGATACCAAATTCTTGACTGACAGTCATTCTGTTTAAGGAGGCTAAAGATAGGGCCCCATTCCCTTCTGGCTTGTAAAGTTTCTGCTTAGAAGCCTGCTGTTAGTCTGATAGGTTTTCCTTCTTAGGTTACCTGATGCTTTTATCTCACTTCTCTTTGAGTTTAGAAAGCCTAATGACTGTTTGCCTTGGTGATACCCTTTTTGCAATGAGTCTCTCAGGATTTCTCTCAGGCTTCTTGTATTTGGGTATCTAAATCTCTATCAAGGTCCGGGAGCTTTTCCTCGATTATTCCCTAAAATAAGTTTTCCAAACTTTTTGCTTTCTCTTCTCCCTCAGGAACACCATTCCTTTTTAGATTTAGCCCTTTTACACAATCCCATGTTTTTTGGAGACTTTGTTCATTTATTTTGATATTTAAAAAAATTGTCTGAGTTAATTCAAAAGCCTTGTCTTTGAACTGTGAAATTCATTCTTCTACCAGGTCTAGTGTATTCTTAAAACTTTCCACTACATTTTGTAATTCCCTAAATGTGTAATTCATTTGCAAAAGTTCTGATTGTTTTTTCTTTAAAATATCCATCTTTTAGAAAATTTTTCATTCATATTCTGATTTTTTTTAACATTTCTTCAGGTTGGTTTTTACATTTCTTTCGTATCTCCTTTAGTAGCTTAACAATCAACCTTTTGAATTTTTTATCTGGTTTTTCAATGATTTCTCTTGGTTTGGATCCATTCTTGGAGAGTTAGTGTGAATTTTTGAGGGTGTTATAGAACCCTATTTTGCCACATTGCCAAAATTACTTTTTTGGTTCCTTCTCATTTGGCTAGACTATTTTTTCTTTTTCTTTTTCTTTTTTTTTTTAAGTATTTATTGATCATTCTTGGGTGTTTCTCAGAGAGGGGGATGTGGCAGGGTCATAGGATAATAGTGGAGAGAAGGTCAGCAGATAAACACGAGAACAAAGGTCTCTGGTTTTCCTAGGCAGAGGTCCCTGCGGCCTTCGGCCCTGTTTGTGTCCCTGGGTACTTGAGATTAGGGAGTGGTGATGACTCTTAATGAGCATGCTGTCTTCAAGCATCTGTTTAACAAAGCACATCTTTCACCGCCCTTAATCCATTTAACCCTGAGTTGACACAGCACATGTTTCAGAGAGCAGGGGGTTGGGGGTAAGGTTATAGTTTAACAGCATCCCAAGGCAGAAGAATTTTTCTTAGTACAGAACAAAATGGAGTCTCCTACGTCCACTTCTTTCTACACAGACACAGTAACAATCTGATCTCTCTTTCTTTTCCCCACATTTCCCCCTTTTCTTTTCAACAAAACCGCCATCATCATCATGGCCCGTTCTCGATGGTCACTATCTCTTCGGAGCTGATGGGCACACTTCCCAGATGGGGCGGCCTGGCAGAGGCGCTCCTCACTTCCCAGACGGAGCGGCCGGGCAGAGGAGCTCCTCACTTCCCAGACGGGGCGGCCGGGCAGAGGCGCTCCTCACTTCCCAGACGGGGCAGCCGGGCAGAGGTGCACCTCACTTCCCAGATGGGGTGGCGGCCAGGCAGAGGTGCTCCTCACCTCCCAGATGGGGTGGCAGCTGGGCAAAGGCGCTCCCCACATCCCAGATGATGGGTGGCCAGGCAGAGGTGCTCCCCACCTCCCAGACGGGGCAGCCCGGCAGAGGCGCCCCCCACTTCCCAGACGGGGCGGCCAGGCAGAGGTGCTCCTCACATCCCAGATGGGGCAGCCGGGCAGAGGCGCTCCTCACCTCCCAGACGGGACGGCCGGGCAGAGGCGCTCCCCACTTCCCAGATGAAGAGCGGCCGGGCAGAGGTGCCCCCCACTTCCCAGATGGGGCGGCCGGGCAGAGGCGCTCCTCACATCCCAGACGGGGCTACTGGTCAGAGGCGCTCCTCACATCCCAGATGGGGCGGCTGGGCAGAGATGCCCCTCACCTCCCAGACGGGGCAGCCAGGCAGAGGCACCCACTTCCCCGACGCGGTGGCCGGGCAGAGGTGCTCCCCACCTCCCAGATGAAGGGCGGCTGGGCAGAGGCACCCACTTCCCAGACGGGGCGGCTGGGCAGAGGTGCTCCCCACCTCCCAGATGGGGTGGCTGGGCAGAGGCACTCCCCACCTCCCAGATGAAGGGCAGCCAGGCAGAGGCGCCCCTCACCTCCCAGGCAGGGTGGCCGGGCAGAGGCGCCCCTCACCTCCCAGACAGGGCGGCCGGGCAGAGACGCCCCTCACCTCCCGGACGGGGAGGCCGGGCAGAGGCACCCACTTCCCAGATGGGGCGGCCGGGCAGAGGCGCTCCCCACCTGCCAGATGAAGGGCGGCCGGGCAGATGCGCCCCTCACTTCCCAGGCAGGGCGGCCGGGTAGAGACACTCCTCACTTCCCAGAGGGGGTGGCCAGGCAGAGGCGCTCCTCACTTCCCATTCGGGGCAGCCAGGCAGAGGCGCTCCTCACTTCCTCCCAGACGAGGCAGCCAGGCAGAGGCGCTCCTCACTTCCTCCCAGACGGGGCGGCCAGGCAGAGGCGCTCCTCACTTCCCATTCGGGGCAGCCGGGCAGAGGTGCTCCTCACTTCCTCCCAGACGGGGCAGCCGGGCAGAGGCACTCCTCACTTCCCAGACGGGGCGGCTGGGCAGAGGCACTCCTCACATCCCAGATGATGGGCAGCCAGGCAGAGACGCTCCTCACTTCCTAGACAGGGTGGCAGCCTGGCAGAAGCGCTCCTCACCTCTCAGATGGGACGGCCGGGCAGAGGGGCTTCTCACGTCCCAGACGATGGGTGGCCAGGCAGAGACGCTCCTCACTTCCTAGACGGGGTGTCCGACAGGCAGAGGCTGTAATCCTAGCACCTTGGGAGGCCAAGGCAGGCGGCTGGGAGGTGGAGGTTGTAGCGAGCCGAGATCACGCCACTGCACTCCAGCCTGGGCAACATTGAGCATTGAGTGAGCGAGACTCCGTCTGCAATCCCAGCACCTCGGGAGGCCGAGGCGGGCAGATCACCTGAGGCCAGGAGCTGGAGACCAGCCCGGTCAACACAGCGAAACCCCGTCTCCACCAAAAATACAAAAACCAGTCAGGAGTGGCGGTGCGTGCCTGGAATCCCAGGCACTCGGCAGGCCGAGGCAGGAGAATCACTGGAGCCCGAGGCAGGGAGGTTGCAGCGAGCTGAGATCATGGCGGCACAGTCCAGGCTCTGCAAGAGAGGGTGACCATAGAAAGAGGGAGACGAGAGGGAGAGGGAGACCGTAGAAAGAGGGAGACGAGAGGGAGAGGGAGGACTATTTTTTCTAATTATTCTTGAATTGATTTTTTATTAAACTGTGTTTTAAAAATTTCTTTCCCCCTTTAAGGATTTGAGTTTAATGTTTACAGTTTATTGTAGCCTATTCAGTTCTCGGTGCTTTCAAGGCTGAAGACTCTGTATGAGTTCCTTGGTTATAGAGAGTCTTTGTATGTTAACTTCCCCAGATGCTTGTTTTAGTAGCAGTGTGCTTGGTATATGATTAAGTTCACTGTTTCCTGTGGGGTTGGAGTGGCAGAGGTATCTTTTGAAACTTGTCTCTTTCCCCTGTAGTCTGCACTTTTTTATGTATTTATTTTTCTTCTGTATTTTATTTATTGGGTTGAATAGTTTACGCTTCAAGTCAGTAGAGGGGGTGTCCCCAGATAGAAACTGGCTGTGTCTAAAACAGGTGGATAAATAGAATACCCCATGGTGGGAAGAGGTCCCAGCCTTGAAAACAGTGGCTGGAGGAGCTCTCAGTGTAATGCACTAAGGTCTTATCAGGGGGAAGGGTGGGAGCCATGTCAGCTCCCCTGCCAGGCTAGCCGGAAAGCAATCCCATTGCCAGTCACATTCCTGACTCAGTGTTTCAGCTATTCAGATCAGACAGATACCTCTTTTTATCTGAAAGAATATTGATAGTCCAAGTAGAGAAGTATTGTGACTCTACTCCTCATGTAAGCCTGAACCTGGAGGGCACTACTTCTGTGGGGATACAGTCACCTTGAAGTGTTCCAGAAAAGCTGTCTACAGATGCACCCATGCTGAGCTCCCATGGTGGAAGCCCATGCTTTGTCTTCAATGGTGGATGAGTGGGAAAAGAAGTCCCCTTCTCCAAGACCCTTCACAAGCACCAGGGCTGCCTGACTGTTAAGGTAGAACCGCAGACTTTCCCTGCTGAGCCCAGCACCTTACCTGTACCTCTGCTGAAGGAAACTTCCCACAAGTAGAAATTTCTGGAATGCAAGGCCTTCCATCTGGATTTTTTTTTTTTTTGTCCTACAAGGGTGCTACTTTGATGTGGTACGCTGCCACTTCCCCTAGGAGTAGGAGTCCCTGAGAGCCAGACTACTCTGAATGCTGCCGCTTCTCTGGGTCTAGTTGCCCAGTGGAGCTGGCACATTCCAGGCTGTTGCTGGGGAGTGTCTGCTGGGGATCCAGTGATATGGCCTGTCTTCAAGTCTCCCAGCAGTGGGTACCAACACCAGCACTGATGGGGGTGACAGGGGAGTGATGTCGACTCTTTGAATTTCCTTGGTTATAAATAGCCTTAGTATGACAGCTTTCTGTAATGCCAGTTGCAGTAGTAATTATCTGGTCATGTGGACAGACTCAGGACCTCCTGGTTAGCCAGGATGCTGCAGGCAGTGGTCACAGCTGAGGTCACACACAAGTTTTTTCCTTTCTAGACACTGTTATTCTACCTGGAGATGCTGTAGTGGACTGTATTGGTTGGCCTCCAGCCAAGAGATAGCGATTGCAAGAGAGCACCAGCTGTGGTGGTAGTGGTGAGATTTGTGCTTGCTTTACATTACCCAGGGGAGGTACTTTGGTGTCTCAGGCAATGGTGGGACCATAGAGCTCCCAAAAGTTTCTGCGTTTTGTGTTAAGCTGGTGGAGGAGCAAAAGCAGGTGTGGGCTACATCAGACTGGTCTGTGCTCTGTCTTCCACATGCTGGGCAAGAAGTGGCCCTCACAGACTATGTAGACAAATTGGTACACTGTGGGTAAAAGTTCCAAGTATGCAAAACAATCTTATTAGTTAGAACATTCCAAGACCTCAATTTCCAGTAGCTGGACAAGGACCATTCATGACAATAGACCCTTCTGAAAATGTACAAGTTTGAGCAACTCAGACCTACTGAGTCAACTGTTTCCTGTACAGTCTACCTTCCTGGCCCTAGGCTCAGGCTCTCTTAAAGGAAAACTACTGTATTTTATAATAGATATATTAATAATATTAGCATGAGAATGTCCAACATTTGGAGGAGCTGGTGCAAGATATAGACTTGAAGAAACAATTAATTCACCGATAAAGCCATTGTATACATCTTCATATTTTCTTCATATTTTTGTAGTAATTTGATTGCTTCTTCCCTTGGTCTAATGATACTTGTGCTTTATGATAAACTTACCTATAGTTATTTAGCATATTAATTAGCTGGTGGTTAACTAGATCTAGTTCCTCAAGCCAATAATTTTTCACTGATATCAGATCCTGAGGAGGCTTTAATTAAATTTCACAATACATATAATTACCATTATTTGTATTATATGACTTATTAACATAAGGTAATAGAACCCTACCAGCAATGCTAATGTTATACCATATCGTGCAATGGCAGTAGTACAGTTCTGTTTCATTCCACAAGTCAGTAAGAGTTATTATACCTTACCCAACATAATTGGCTCTTGACCACTTAGCAGATGTTCTTAGGGACAGATGTCATCACAAGGGACCAGGATGCCTTTATTTCCAGGTTCCAAGTAAGATGGCAACTGATGGCTTTAACACAGACTGGGTGGCTTTAACAGCAGAAATTTATTTTCTCATAGTTCTGGAGGCTAGAAGTCCAATATTAAGGTGTTGACAGGCTTAGTGTCTTCTGAGATCTCTCTTTGGCTTGCAGGTACCCACCTTCTTGGTTGTCCTTACAGGATCTTTCCTCTGTGTATGTGACTCTGGTTTTTCTTTGTATATCCAAATTTTCTCTTCATATAAGGACACCAGTCAGATTGGATTAGGGCCCATCCTAAAAGGCTTCATTTTAACTAAATTGCCTCTTTAAAGGCCCTATTTCCAAATATAGTCACATTCTGAGGTACTAGGAGTTAGGGCTTCAACAGGAATTTTAGGCAGGGACACAATTCAGCCCATTAATATATGAAGACAAAACTAGTCATATTGTCATGATTTTACTGAAATGTTCCATTGTATACTGTTATGTACTATCTCTTTCTCATGGTAAGTCTGAGTGTAATTCACAATGGTTCCTATTTCTGTGAACTGCATTACAGGATACAACTTATTTTAAACCATTCTTGGAGTGAGGGCAGGCAGAGTATACCAATGTAAATTACTCTTAACCTACTAATTTGCTATCTTTATGAATTTGGCTATTCTGAACATTTGGTATAAATGGAATCAGGTAATATTTGATCTATTTCAGTTAATTTTCATGTATGATATAAGGAAAGAAGGTGACTTTACTCTTTTGCCTGTGGTTATTTAGTTGTCCCAGAACCAGTTGTTGAAAAGACCTTTCATTCTCCATTAAATTGTCTTGGCACCCTTGTCAAGAATCAGTTGTCCACAAATGTAAGGGTTTATTGCTGGATTCTCAATTCTATTTTATTGCTCTATGTATCTATTGTTATGCCAGTTTTGATTGCTGTAGTTTTGTAGTAAGTTTTTAAATCAGGGGCTGTGAGTCCTCCTGCTTAGTTTTTCTTTATCAGGATTGTTTTGGCTATTTGGGCCTTGAAATTCATTATTAATTTTAGGATTAACGTTTCAATTTCTACAAAATGGGTCATTTGAATTTTGATAGGGATTGCATTGAATCTGTAAGTCATTTTGGGTAGTATTGACATCTTAATAGTAAGTCTTTCAGTCTATAAACATGGAATGCCTTTTTATTTAGGTCTTTAATTTATTTCAATAATGTTTTGTAGTTTTCAGTGTACAAGCCTTGCACCTCCTTTGTTAAATTTATTCCTAAATATTTTCTTCTTTTTGATGCTATTGTAAATGGAATTGTTTTCTTCATTTAGTTTTGTTATTGCTAGTGTAGATGTAGCGTGGTTTTGTGTGTTGATTTTGTATCCTGGAACTTTGCTGAATTCATTTATTAGCTTTACCTATTTTTTTTAGGTGTGTGTATTCTTTAGGATTTTCCACATATAAGTTCATGTCATTAGCATATAGAGATAGTTTTACTTCTTCCTTTCCAATTTGGATGCTTTCTATTTCTTTTCTAATTGCTGTAGCTAGAACTTCCATTACAATGTTTAATAAAATTTGTGAAAGCAAACAGCCTTGTACTGTTACAGGTCTTAGAGAAAACAATTCAGACTCTCACCATTGAGTATCATTATAAAATGTACCTCTTCATCTCTATTAACATGTTTTGTTTAAAGCCTACTTTGGCTGATAATAGTATAGTCTCTCCAGTTTTCTTATGGTTTATCTTTATATGATATACATTTTTCCATCGTTTTACTTTCTATCCACTTTTATCTTTGAACCTAAAGTATCTCTCCTTAGATAAGATACAGTTGGATATTATTTCATCCATTCTTGCAATCTCTGACATTTTATTGGATTGCTTAATCCATTCACATTTAATATTATTATTAATATAGTTGGATTTGTGTCTGCAATTTTACTTTTTCTTTTCTGCATATGTTGTGCCTTTCTTGTTCCTCTGTTCCCTTTTGTCTACTTTCTTTTTCATTAAGTGAATATTTTATAATGTTAGAATTTATTCTATTTTTTACTACATTTTTTGTTAGTTTCTTATTCGTTACTTTAGACTCTCCCTATACATCTCAACTTACCAGAATCTGCTAAGTGGTCTATTAGAGATAGGAAAACCCAGTGTTTTTTCTACTCTCACACACTTAACACACATTTATGATACCAGATGTGTAGGAATTTCTGTCCACACACCAAGCAATCAGTTGTCCAGCATACACCAGCACACACATCAATTCAATTCAATTCTAACACTATCAATCTGGAGATAATGTCAGATCTCACAGGTTAAGTGCTCAGTCTCACAAGACTGCCTCTTACTTCACATGCCAGTGGCATACCCAAGTGGTTTTACCTGTGTTTATGACCAACCAGCTATATCATATTTTTTATACAAAATTTTAATTTGTAATTTTTGTGGGTACATAGTAGGTATATACATTTATGGGGTACATGAGATGTTTTGATATAGGTGTGATGCATAATAATCACATCATGGAGAATGGGGTATCCACCCCCTTAACCATTTATCTTTTGTGTTACAAACAATCCAATTATACTCTTTTAGATATTTAAAAATGTACACTAATTATTGACTATAGTCACCCTGTCGTGCTATCAAATAGTAGGCCTTATTCATTCTTTCCGACTATAATTTTAAACCCATTAAACATCATCAAATCCCCTCACCAGCCCCACTGCCTTTCCCAGCCTCTGCTAACTAACCTTTTACTCCCTATCTCCACGGTACAACTCTATTGATTTTAGATCCCACAAATAAGTGAGAACATACAAAGTTTGTCTTTCTGTGCCTGGCTCATTTAACTTAACATAATGACCCCCAGTTCCATCCATGTTGTTGCAAATGACTAGATCTCATTCATTTTCATGGCTTAATAGCAGTTCATTTTGTATATGTACTTTTCTTAACTTTTATTTTAAGTTCAGGGGTATACAAGGGTAGGTTTGTTACATAGGTAAACTTATGTCATAGGAATTTGTTGTACAGATTATTTCATCACCCAGGTATTAAGCCTAGTACCCATTAGTTATTTATCCTAATCCTCTCCTTCTTCCCACCCTCCACCTTCTGAAAGGCCCCAGTGTTTGTTGTTCCCCTCTACATGTCCACGTGTTCTCATCATTTAGCTCCCACTTAAAAGTGAGAACATGTGTTATTTGGTTTTCTATTCCTGTGTTAGTTTGCTAACGATAATGGCCTTTAGTTCCATCCACATCTCTGCAAAGGATATTATCTCATTATTTCTTATGGCTACATAGTATTCCATGGTGCATATGTACCACATTTTCTTAATTCTATTATTGATGGGCAGTTAGGTTGATTCCATGTCTTTGCTATTGTGAATAATGCTGCAATGAACATACACGTGCATGTGTCTTTATAATAGAATGATTTATATTCCTTTGGGTATATACCCAGTAATGGGATTGCTATGTTGAATGGTATTTTTGTCTTTAGGTCTTTGAGGAATCACCACACTGTCTTCCACAATTGCTGAAATAATTTACATTCCCACCAACGGTGTGTAAGCATTCCTTTTATGCCACAACCTTGCCAGCATCTGTTATATTCTGATATTTTAATAACAACCATTCTGACTGGTGTAAGATGGTATCTCATTGTAGTCTTGCTTTGCATTTCTCTAATGATCAATGATGTTGAGCTTTTTTTCTTTTTCTTTTTTTTTTTGAGACAGAGTCTTGCTGTCGCCCAGGCTGGAGTGCAGTGGTGTGATCTCTGCTCACTGCAGGCTCCGCGCCCCGGGTTCACGCCATTCTCCTGCCTCAGCCTCCTGAGTAGCTGGGACTACAGGCGCCCGCCACCTCACCCAGCTAATTTTTTGTATTTTTAGTGGAGACGGGGTTTCACCGTGTTAGCCAGGATGGTCTTGATCTCCTGACCTCGCGATCCGCCCGCCTTGGCCTCCCAAAGTGCTGGGATTACAGGCATGAGCCACCGTGCCCGGCCGCTTTTTTTCATATGATTTTTGGTTGGACGTATGTCTTCTTTTGAAAAGTGTCTGTTCATGTCCTTTGCCCACTTTTTAATGGGGTTGTTTGGTTTTTTCCTTGTAAATTTGTTTAAGTTCTTATAGACGCTGGATATTAGGCTTTTGTCAAATGCATAGTTTCAAAAAATTTTCTCCCATTCGGTTGTCTGTTTAGTCTGTTGATAGTTTCTTTTGCTGCACAGAAGCTCTTTAGTTTAATTAGATTTCATTTTTCTATCTTTGATTTTGTTGCAATTGCTTTTGGCATTTTCATCATGAAATCTTTGCCTGGGCATATGTCCTGAATGGTATTGCCTAGGTTGTTTTCTGGGATTTTATAGTTTTGGGTTTTACATTTAAGTCTTTAATCCATCTTGAGCTAATTTTTGTATGTGGTGTAAGGAAGGGGTCCAGTTTCAATCTTCTGCATATGTGTAGCCTGTTATCCCAGCACCATTTATTGAATAAGGAATGCTTTCCCCATTGCTTGTTTTTCTCAGGTTTCTCAAAGATCAGATAGTTGCAGGTGTGCAGTCTTATTTCTAGCTTCTGTATTCTGTTCCTTTGGTCTATGTGTCTGTTTTTGTACCAATACCATGCTATTTTGGTTACTGCAGCCCTGTAGTAGAGTTTAGGTTTGAGTAGCATGATGCCTCCAGCTTTGTTCTTTTTGCTTTGGATTGCCTTTGCTATTCTGGCTCCTTGTTGGTTTGATATGAATTTTAAAATAGTTTTCTCTAGTTCTGTTTAGAATGTCAATGGTAGTTTAATAGGTAGTTTAATAAGAATAACATTGAGTCTGTAAATTGCTTTGGGCAGCATGGCCATTTTAATGGTATTGATTCTTCCTGTCCATGAACATGAAATGATTTTCCATTTGTTTGTGTTATCTCTGATTTCTTTGAGCAGTGGTCGGTAGTTCTCCTTGTAGAGATATTTTACCTCCCTCATAAGCTGTATTCCTAGGTATTTTATTCTTTTTGTGGCAATTGTGAATGAGAGTTTGCTCCTGATTTGGCTCTTGGCTTTACTGTTGTTGGTGTATAAGAATGCTAGTGACTTTTGTACATTGATTTTGTATCCTGAGACTTTGCTGAAGTTGTTTATCAGCTTGAGAAGCTTTTGGGCTGAGACCATGGGGTTTTCTAGATATAGGATCATGTCATCTCCAAACAGAGATAGTTTGGCTTCCTCTATTTGTATTTGCATGTCTTTTATTTCTTTCTCTTGCTTGATTTTCCTGGCCAGAACTTTCTATGTTCTGCCTCTATGTTCTAATAGTATGTTAAATAGGAGTGATGAGAAAGGATATTTTGTAAAAATTCTACTTTAAGTTCCAGGATACATGTGCAGAATGTGCAGGTTTGATACATAGTTATACATGTGACATGGTGGTTTGCTGTACCTATCAACCTGTCATCTAGGTTTTAAGCCCCACATGCATTAGGTATTTGTGGTAATGCCCTCCCTCCACTTGTCCCCCAACCCCTGACAGGCCCCAGTGTGTGATGTTTCCCTCCCTGTGTCCATGTGTTCTCATTGTTCAACTCCCACTTATGAGTGAGAACATGTGGTGTTTGGTTTTTTGTTCCTGTGTTAGTTAGCTGAGAATGATGGCTTCCAGCTTCATCCATGTCCCTGCAAAGGACATGAGCTCATAGTATTCCATGGTGTATATGTTCCACATTTTCTTTATCCAGTCTATCATTGATGGGCATTTGTTTTGGTTCCAAGTCTTTGCTATTGTAAATAGTGCTGCAGTAAACATACAAGTGCATGTGTCTTTGTAGTAGAATGATTTATAATCCATTGGGTATATACTCAGTAATGGGATTGCTGGGTCAAATGGTATTTCTGGTTCTAGATCTTTGAGGAATCTCCACACTGTCTTCCACAATGGTTGAATTAATTTACATTCCCACCAACGGTGTAAAAGCAGAGAAAGGGCATTTTTGTCTTTTGCCCGTTTTCAAGGGGAAGGCTTCCAGCTTTTACCCATTTAGTATGATATTGGCTCTGGGTTTGTCATATGTGGCTCTTATTATTTTGAGGTATGTTTCATCAATACCTAGTTTATTGAGTTTTTAACGTGAAGGGGTGTTGAATTTTACTGAAAGCCTTTTCTGCATATATTAAGATAATAATGTGGTTTTTGTCATTAGTGCTCTTTATGAGATGAATTGCATTTATTGATTTGTGTATATTGAGCCAAACTTGCATCCCAGGGATGAAGCCTATTTGATTGTGGTGGATAAGCTTTTTGATGTGCTGCTGGATTGGGTTTGCCAATATTTTATTGAGGATTTTTGCATCAATGTTCTAGTATGTTGGCCTGAAGTTTTTTTGTTTTTGTCTGCCAGGTTTTGTTTTCAGGATGATGCTGACCTTATAGAATGAGTTAGGGACGAGTCCGTCCTCCTTAATTCTTTGGTATAGTTTCAGTAGGAATGGTACCAGCTCCTTTGTACATCTGGTAGAATTCAGCTGTGAATGTATCTGGTTCTGGGCTTTTTTTTCGGTTGGTATGCTACTACTGCCTCAATTTTAGAATTTGATATTGGTCTGATCAGGGATTTAATTTTTTGTTGGTTCAATCTTCAGAGGGTGTGCGTGTCCAGAAATTTATTTGTCTCTTCTAGGTTTGCTAGTTTGTGTGCATAGAGGTATTAATAATATTTTCTGATGGTTGTTTGTATTTCTGTGGGTTCAGTGGTAATATTCCCTTTTTCATTTCTGATTGTGTTTATTTGAATATTCTCTTTTCTTTTTGATTAGTCTGGCTCGATGTCTATCTATTTTATTGTTTTTTTCAGGAAACCAACTCCTGGCATTGTTGATCTTTTGAGTGGTTTTCCATGTCACTATCTCCTTCATTTCAGCTCTGATTTTGGTTATTTTTTATCTTCTGCTAGCTTCAGGGTTGATTTGTTTTTGCTTTTCTAGTTCAGTTGTGAATTAGGTTGTTAATTTAACATCTTTCTAGATTTTTGATGTAGACATTTAGTGCTATAAATTTCCCTCTTAACACTCCTTTATCTGTGTCCCAAAGTTTCAGGTATGTAGTATCTTTGTTCTTATTGGTTTCAGAGAACTTCTTAATTTTTGCCTTAATTTCACTATTTACCTAAAAGTCACTCAGGAGCAGGCTATTTAATTTCCATGTAATTGCATGGTTTTGAGTGAATTTATTAGTCTCGATATAAAATTTGATTGCTCTGTGGTTTGAGATACCACACATATTTCACATCTTTTGCATTTGCTGGGGAGTGTTTTGCTTCTGATAATGTGATCAGTTTTAGAGTAAGTGACATGTGGCATTGACACAAATGTATATTCTGTTGATTTGGCTGGAGCATTCTGTGTACGTGTGTGTGTGTATGTGTGTGTATATACATATACACACACAGAATGCTCCAGCCAAATATATATGTGTGTGTGTGTGTGTGTGTGTGTGTGTGTGTGTGTGTGTGTGTGTGTATATACATCAGATCCTTTTGATGCAGTGCTGAGTTCAGGTCCTGAATATCTTTGTTAATTTTCTCTCTCAATGATCTGTCTAATATTTTCAGTGGGTTGTTAAAGTCTCCCACTATTACTGTGTGGGAGTTTGGTATGGTTTGGCACTGTGTCCCCACAGAAATCTTATCTTGTAGTTCCCATAATTCCCACATGTTGTGGGAGGGACCCAGTGGGAGATAATTGAACCATATGGGTCTTTCTCATGCTGTTCTCATGATAGTGAATAAGTCTCATGAGATCTGATGGTTTTATAAACAGAAGTTTCCCTGCACAAGTTCTTTTTTTGCCTGCCATCATTCATGTAAGACATGACTTGCTCCTCCTTGCCTTCCACCATGATTGTTAGGCCTCTCCAGCCATGTGGAACTGTAAGTCCATTAAACCTCTTTTTCTTCCTAGTCTCAGGTATGTCTTTATCAGCAGCATGAAAACAGACTGATACAGCAAATTGGTACTAGTAGAGTGGGGCATTGCTGAAGATATCCAAAAATGTGGAAGTGACTTTGGAAGTGGGTAAGATGCAGAGGTTGGAACAGTTTGGAGGGCTCAGAAGAAGACAGGAAAATGTGGGAAAGTTTTGAACCCACTAGAGACTAGTTGAATGGCTTTGACAAAATGCTGATAATGATATGGACAATGAAATCCAGGCTGAGGTGGTCTCAGATGGAGATGAAGAATTTGTTGGGAACTGGAGCAAAGGTGACTCTTGTTATGTTTTAGCAAAGAGACTGGCAGCATTTTGCCCCTGCCCTAGAGATTTGTGGAGCTTTGAACTTGAAAGAGATGATTTAGTGTAGCTGGTGGAGAAATTTCTAAGCAGCAAAGCATTCAAGAGGTGACCTTAGTGCTGTTATAGGCATTCACTTTTAAACAGGAAACAGCATAACAGTTCAGAAAATTTGCAGCCTGACAATGTGATAGAAAAGAAAATCCCAGTTTCTGAGGAGAAATTCAGGCTGGCTTCAGAAATTTGCATAAGTAACGAGGAGCCAAATGTTAATCTCCAAGACAATGGGGAAAATGTCTCCAGGGCATGTCAGAGATCTTTGCAGTAGCCCCTCCCATCACAGGCCTGCAGGTTTACGAGGAAAAATTGGTTTCATGGGCCGGGCCCAGGGTCCCTCTGTTGTGTGCAATATAGGGACTTGATGCCCTGAATCCCAGCCACTCCAGCTGTGACTACAAGGGGCCAAGGGACAGTTTGGGCTGTTGCTTCAGAGGGTGGGAGCCCAAAGCCTTGGTAGCTTCCATGTGGTGTTGAGCCTGCAGGTACATAGAAGTCAAAAATTGAGGTTTGGGAACCTTCGCCTATATTTCAGAGGATGTATGAAAATGCCTGGATGCCCAGACAGAAGTTTGCTGCAGGGGTGGGGCCCTCATGGAGAATCTTTGCTAGGGCAGTGCAGAAGGGAAATGTGGGGTTGGAGCCCCCATGCAGAGTCCCTACTGGGGCACAAACATAGTGGAGCTGTGAGAAGAGGGCACCATCCTCCAGACCCCAGAATGGCAGATCCACCAATAGTTTGCACCTTGAACCTGGAAAAGCCACAGACACTCAATCCTGGCCTGTGAAAGCAGCCAGGAGGGCAGCTATACCCTGAAAGCCACAGGGGCAGAGCTGCCTAAGACAATGGGAACCCACCTTTTGCATCAGTGTAACCCAGATGCGAGACACTGAGTCAAAGGATACCATTTTGGAGCTTTAAGATTTGACTGCCCCACTGGATTTTGGACTTGCATGAGGCTTGTAGCCCCTTTGTTTTGGCCAATTTCTCCAATTTGGAGTGGCTGTACTTACCCAATGGCTGAACCCCTATTGTATCTAGGGAGTAACTAACTTGCTTTTGACTTTACAGGCTCATGGGCAGAAGGGACATACCTTTTCTCAGATGAGACTTTGTGGACATGTGTGTTAATGCTGAAATGACTTAGGACTTTGAGAGACTGTCAGGAAGGCAAGATTGGTTTTGGAATGTGAAGACATGAGATTTGGGAGGGGCCGGGGGCAGAATGATATGGTTTGGCTCTGTGTCCCCACCCAAATCTCATCTTGTAGCTCCCATAATTCTCTCTCTCTCTCTTTTTTAAAATTATACTTTAAGTTCTGGGATACATGTGCAGAACGTGCAGGTTTGTTACATAGGTATACACGTGCCATGGTGGTTTGCTGCACCCATTAACCCATCATCTACATTAAGTATTTCTCCTAATGCTATCCCTCTCCTAGCCTCCCACCCCCTGACAAACCCTGGTGTGTGATGTTCCCCTCCCTGTGTCAATGTGTTCTCATTGTTCAACCCCCAATTATGAGTGAGAACATGTGGTGTTTGGTTTTTTGTTCCTGTGTTAGTTTGCTGAGAATTATGGTTTCCAGCTTCATCTATGTCCCTGCAAAGGACATGAACTCATCCTTTTTGATGGCTGCATAGTATTCCATGGTGTATATATGCCACATTTTCTTTATCCAGTGTATGATTGATGGGTATTTGGGTTGGTTCCAAGTCTTTGCTATTGTGAACAGTGCTGCAATAAACATATGTGTGTATGTGTCTTTATAGTAGAATGATTTATAATCCTTTGGGTATATACCCAGTAATGGGATTGCTAGGTCAAATGGTATTTCTGGTTCTAGATCCTAGAGGAATCACCACACTGTCTTCCACAATGGTTGAACTAATTTACACTCCCACCACAGTGTAAAAGCATTCCTATTTCTCCACATCGTCTCCAGCATCTGTTGTTTCCTGACTTTTTAATGATTGCCATTCTAACTGGCATGAGATGTTATCTCATTGTGGTTTTGATTTGCATTTCTCTAGTGACCAGTGATGATGAACTCCTTTCCATATGTTTGGTGGCTCCATAAATGTCTTCTTTTGAGAAGTGTCTGTTCATATCCTTCACCCACTTTTTGATGGGGTTGTTTCTTCTTGTAAATTTGTTTTAGTTCTTTGTAGATTCTGGATATTGGCCCTTTGTCAGATGGATAGATTGCAAAAATTTTCTCCCATTCTGTAGGTTGCCTGTTCACTCTGATGATAGTTTCTTTTGCTGTGCAGAAGTGCTTTAGTTTAATTAGATCCCATTTGTCAGTTTTGGCTTCTGTTGCAATTGCTTTTGGTGTTTTAGTCATGAAATCTTTGCTCATGCCTATGTCCTGAATGGTATTGCCTAGGTTTTCTTCTAGGGTTTATATGGTTTTAGGTCTTATGGTTAAGTCTTTAATCCATCTTGAGTTAACTTTTGTATAAGGTGTAAGGAAGGGGTTCAGTTTCAGTTTTCTGTATATGGCTAGCCAGTATCCCCAACACCATTTGTTAAATAGGGAATCCTTTCCCCATTGCTTGTTTTTGTTAGGTTTGTCAAAGATCTGATGGTTGTAGATGTGTGGTGTTATTTCTGAAGTCCCTGTTCTGTTCCATTGGTCTATATATCTGTTTTGGTACCAGTACCATGCTGTTTTGGTTACCATAGCCTTGTAGTATAGTTTGAAGTCAGGTAGTGTGATGCCTCCAGCTTTGTTCTTTTTCTTAGGATTGTCTTGGCTATATGGGCTCTTTTTTTGGTTGCATATGAAATTTAAAGTAGTTATTTCTAATTATGTAAAGAAAGGCAATCGTAGCATGATGGGGATAACATTGAATCTGTAAATTACTTTGGGCAATATGACCATTTTCACGATATTGATTCTTCCTATCCATGAGCATGGAATGTTTTTCCATTTGTTTGTGTCGTCTCTTATTTCCTTGTGTAATGGTTTGTAGTTCTCTTTGAAGAGATCTTCACATCCCTTGTAAGTTGTATTTCTAGGTATTTTATTCTCTTTGTATCAATTGTCAATGGGAGTTCACTCTGATTTGGCTCTCTGTTATTGGTGTATAGAAATGCTTGTGATTTTTGCACACTCATTTTGTATTCTGAGACTTTCCTGAAGTTGCTTATCAGCTTAAGGAGATTTTGGGTTGAGATGATGGGGCTTTTAAAATATACAATCATGTCATCTGCAAAGAGAGAAAATTTGACTTTCTCTTTTCCTATTTGAATACCCTTTATTTCTTTCTCTTGCCTGATTGCCCTGGCCAGGATTTCCAATACTATGTTGAATAGGAGTGGTGAGAGAGGGCATCCTTGGCTAGTACTGCTTTTCAAAGTGAATGCTTCCAGCTTTTGCCCATTCACTATGATATTGGCTGTAGGTTTACCATAAGTAGCTCTTATTATTTTGAGATAAGTTTCATCAATAGCTACTTTATTGAGAGTTTTTAGCATGAAGGGGTGTTGAATTTTATCAAAGGCCTTTTCTGCATCTATTGAGATAATCATGTGGTTTTTGTCACTGGTTCTGTTTATGTGATGGAATACATTTATTGATTTGCTTATGTTGAACCAGCCTTGCATCCCAGGGATTATGCCAACTTGATCGTGGTGGATAAGCTTTTTGATGTGCTGCTGGATTCTGTTTGCCAGTATTTTATTGAGGATTTTTGCATCGATGTTCATCAGGGATATTGGCCTGAAATTTTCTTTTTTTGTTGTGTCTGTGCCTGGTTTTGGTATCAGAATGATGCTGGCCTCATAGAATGAGTTAGGGAGGAGTCCATCTTTTTCTATTGTTTGGAATAGTTTCAGAAGGAATAGTTCCAGCTCCTTTTTGTACCTTTGGTAGAATTCGTCTGTGAATCCATCTGGTCCTGGGCTTTTTTTGGTTGGTAGGTTCTTAATTACTGCCTCAATTTCAGAACTTGTTATTGGTATATTCAGGGATTCAACTTCTTCCTAGTTTAGTCTTGGGAGGGTGTATGTGTCCAGGAATTTTTCCATTTTTTCCTAGATTTTCTAGTTTATTTGTGTAGAGATGTTTATAGTGTTCTCTGATGGTAGTTTGTATTTCTGTGGGATCAGTGGTGATATCCTGTTTACCCTTTTTTTGTCTATTTTATTCATCTATCTTTTCTTCTATATTAGTCTGTCTAGCGTTCTATTTTGTTAACCTTTTCAAAAAATCGGCTCCTGGACTAATTGATTTTTTGAAGGGTTTTTCATGTCTCTATCTCCTTCAGTTCTGCTCTGATCTAAGTTATTTCTTGTCTTCTGCTATCTTTTGAATTTGTTTTCTCTTCCCTCTCTAGTTCTTTTCATTGTGATGTTCGTGTGTCAATTTTAGATCTTTTTTGCTTTCTCCTGTGGGCATTTAATGGTATATGTTTCCCTCTAAGCCCTGCTTTAGCTGTGTCCCAGAGATTCTGGTACGTCGTGTCTTTGTTCTCATTGGTTTCAAATAACTTATTTATTTCTGCCTTAATTTTGTTATGTACCCAGTAGTCATTCTGGAGCAGTTTGTTCAGTTTCCATGTAGTTGTGCAGCTTTGAGTTTATTTCTTAATCCTGAGTTCTAATTTGATTGCACTGTGGTCTGACAGACTGTTATGAGTTCTGTTCTTTTGTATTTGCTGGGGAGTGTTTGTTTCAGAAAGGCAGTCTTCAAGCTCTGATTTTCTTTCCTTCTATTGGTCTGTTGTGCTATTAATACTTGTGAGTACATTATGAAATTCTTGTAGTGTTTTTCAGCTATAACAGGACGGTTTTTTTTTGTTCTCTATACTGGCTGTTTTGTCTGTCAACTCCTGCAATGTTTATCATGATTTTTAGTTTCCTTTCATTGGGTTACAACATGCTCCTTTTGCCAGTGGACTTCATTCCTATCCATCGTCTGAAATCTACTTCTGTCATTAAAGCCATCTCAGCCTCAGCCCCGTTCCAAACCCTTGCTGGAGAGGTGATGTGGTAATTTGGAGGAAGGAGGGTACTCTGGGTTTCTGTTTTCAGTGTTCTTACACTGTTTTTTTCCTTCTCATCTTTGTGGGATTATCTACCTTCAGTCTTTGACGTTGCTAACCTTTGAATTGGTTTTTCTTTTAACAGTCTGACCACGTTTCTGTAGCTTTTATTGATCCACTTGTCATTCAAGAGCATATTTTTAAATTTCCATCTATTTGCGTAGTTTCCAAAATTCCTCGTTATTGATTTCTAATTTTCTTCCAGTGTCTTCAGAGAAGATGCTTGATATTATTTCAATGCTTTTGAATATTTTAAGACTTGTTTTGTGATTTAATATATCGTCTATTCTTGAGAATGATTAATGTGCTAAGGAAAAGATGTGTATTTTGTAGCCATTGGATGAAATGTTTTGTAAATGTCTATTAGAACCATTTGGTCTATAGTGTAGATGAAGTCTGATCTTTCTTTGTTGATTTTCTTTCTGGAAGACTTGTTCAATGCTGAAAGGATGTGTTGAAATGTCCAGCTATTTTCTTTTTATTGGGGTCTATCTCTCTCCTTAGCTGTAATAATGTTTGCTTTATATATCTGAGTGCTCCAGTGTTCGGCATATATATTTACAATTGTTATATTCTTTTGCCGAATTGACCCCTTTATCATTATATATTGACCTTCTTTGTTTCTTGTAGTTTTTGCCTTGAAATCTAGTTGGTTTGATAAAAACATAGTGACTCCTGCTCTTCTTTTTTTGTTACCATAGGCATAAAATATCCTTTTCCCTCCCTTTATTTTCAGTCTATGTGTGTCTTTATAGGTGAAGCATGTTTCTTGCAGGCATCAGATCACAGATCAATGTGTCTGTCTTTTTAATCCATTCAGCCTCTCTCTGTCTTTTTTGTTTTTTGAGATTGAGTCTTGCTCTGTCCCTCAGTCTGGAGTGCAGTGGTGAAGTCTTGGCTCACTGCAACCTCTGCCTCCCTGGTTCTAGTGATTCTCCTGCATCAGCCTCCTGAGTAGTTGGGACTATAGAGATGCATCACCACATTTGGCTAATTTTTGTATTTTTAGGGGTGACGGAGTTTCACCATTTTGGCTAGGCTGGTCTCAAACTCCTGAGATCAGGTGATCCACCTGCCTCAGCCTCCCAGTGTTAGGATTACAGGTGTGAGCCACCATGCCCAGCCCTATCTCTGCCTTTTGATTGGAGAGTTCAGTCCATTTACATTCAGTGTTATTATTGATAAGTAAGGATTTTCTCCTGCCATTTTGTTATTTGTTTTCTGGTTGTTTTGTTGTTTTCTTGTCTTGTCTTGTCTTTTATTTAGTGAAGGTGGTCTTCTCTGGTGATATGATTTATTTTCTTGCTTTTAACTTTTTATTGTATCTGTTGTGTTTTTTTGTTTTTTTGAAGTCATTAGGAGGCTTGCAAATACCATCTTACACGGGATTATTTTAAGTGGATAGCAATTTAACACTGTTTGCATAAATAAACAAAGAAGCAAAAAGGAGTCTAATAAAATCTCTATGCCTTAACTTTGTCCTCCTAATTTTTAAGCTTTTGTTGTTTCTATTTGTATTTTATTTTACTGCATATGTCTTGAAAAGTTGTTGTAGGTATTATTTTTGATTGGTTCATAATTTAGTCTTACTACTTAGGATAATAGTTTACACAAGACAGTTACAGTGTTATAATATTTTGTGTTTTTCTGTGTACTTATTATTACCAGTGAGTTTTGCACCTTCAGGTAATTACTTATTGCACATAAATGTTCTATTTTCTTATTGAAGTACTCCCTTCAGCATTTTTTGTAGGACACATCTGGTGATAATGAAATCCCTTTGCTTCAGAATGTACTAAGAATTATGAAAAAATAAAATAGAATAATTAAATAAAAATAAATATAAAAAGAAATCCCTAAGCTTTTGTTTGTCTGGGAAACTTTTTTCTCAGTCACGTTTGAAGGATATTTTCACCAGATATATTGTCCTTGGATAAAAGCTTTTTTATGCTTCAGCACTTTAAATATGTTATGCCACTCTCTTCTGGCCTGTAAGGTTTCCACTGAAAGGTCTGCTCCTCCTTTGTATGTTATTTGTTTCTTTTCTCATGCTGCTTTTAGTATCCTTTCTTTGTCCCCGATCTTTGGGAGTTTATTAAATGCCTTGAGGTAGTCTCCTTTGAGGTAAATATGTTTGGTCTTCTATAACCTTCTTATACTTTAATATTGATATATTTCTCTAGGTTAGGAAAGTTCTCTTTTATTATTTCTTTGAATAAACTTTCAACCCCCCCACCCACTTCCTCTTTAAGGCTAATAACACTTAGATTTGGCCTTTTTAGAGTATTTTCTACATCCTGTAGGTGTGCTTAATTATTTTTTACCCTTTTTTTTGGTCATTTCTGACCGTGTTTTCTTTTTTCCCTCTCTTTCTTTTCTTTTTTTTATAGAGTCTCACTCTGTCACCCAGGCTGGAGTGCAGTGGTGTGATCTTGGCTCCCTGCAACCTCCATCTCCTGGGTTCAAGTGATTCTCCTGCCTCAGCCTCCTGAGTAGCTGGGATTACAAGTGTCTGCCATCATGCCTGGCTAATTTTTTTTTTTTTTTTTTTTTTTTTTTTTTGTATTTTTAGTAGAGACAGGGCTTCACCGTGTTGGCCAGGCTGGTCTTAAACTTCTGACTTCAAGTGATCCTCTCACTTCAGCCTCCCAAAGTGCTGGGATTACAGATGTGAGCCACCATGCCTGGCCCTGACTGTATTTTCAAATAGCCTGTCTTCAAACTCATTAATTCTTTCTACTGCTTTATCAGTTTTGCTATTGAAAGACTTTGATGCATTCTTCAGTATTCCAATTGCATTTTTCACATCCATAATTTCTACTTGATTCATTTTAACTATTTCAATCTCTTTGTTAAATTTATTTGATAGAAGTCTGATTTCTTTGTGTTCTCCTGAATATCTTTGAGTTCCCTCAAAACAGGTATTTTGAATTCTCTGTCTGAAAGGTCATATATCTCTATTTTTTCTGGATTGCTCCCTGGTTATTTAGTTAATTCAGTGTAGTCATGTTTTCCTCGATTGTCTTGATACTTGTAGGTGTCTGCCTGTGTCTTGGTAGTGAAGAGTTAGATATTTATTTTAGTCTTTGCAGTCTGGCTTTGTTTGCACCTGTCCCTCTTCAGAAGGCTTTCCAGATAGTTGAAAGGACTCAGGAATTGTGATATAATTTAGTCCATTCCTAAACAACTGAGGGTCCTGGGAGTTTAAGCATGTCAATGCAGTCTTTTATTTCATTATTAACTGAAGAAAAATTGGTGCCCTTACAGATTTTTTAAGATTCTGAAATAAAAGAAGTCAGAAAGAACCAAGTCAGGACTGTAAGGTGGATGCCTAATGATTTCCCACTGAAACTCTCAAAAAATTCCCCTTGTTTGGTAAGAATGAGTGGGAGAATTGTTGTGGTGAAGAAGGATTTTCTGGTGATGATTTCCTGGGCATTTTTCTGCTAAATATTTGGCTAACCCTAAATACTCTAATAATAAACAGATATTATTGTGCTTTGGCCCTCCATAAAGTCAAGAAGCAAAATGCCTTGAGCAACCCAAAAAACTGTGTCCATGACCTTTGCTCTTGACTAGTCCACTTCGACCTCTTTGTTGCCATTGTTTTGATTGTGTTTGTCTTCAGGATAGTTCTGGTAAAGCCTCATTTTGCCTCCTGTTACAAGTCTTTGAAGCAATGCTTTAGGATGTTGATCTCACTTTTTTAAAATTTCCATTGAAAACTCTGCTCTTGTCTGCAGCTGATCTTGGTGCAATGGTTATGGCACTCATCAAATGTAAAGTTTGCTAAACTTTAATTTTTAGTCAGAAATGTGTATGCTGAAACAATTGAGATGTCTGTCATGTTGGCTATTGTTTCTGCTCCTCTCCAACTACAGCATGAACAAGATGAATTTTTGCTTCACAAATTGATGTGAATGGTCTGCTGCCATGGGCTTCATCTTCAATGTTGTATCGTCTCTTCTTAAAATGAGTTATTCATTTGCAAATATCTATTTTTTGGTGCCATTGTTCTCATAATCTTTTCATAAAGCATCAGTGATTTCACTATTCTTCCACTCAAGCTTCACTATAATATTGATATTTGTTCTTGTTTCAAATTTAGCAGACTTCATGTTGCTGTGATAGGGACTTATCTTTCTGAGTGCCTCAAGCTAAATCCTGTTCAGACATGTTATAACAGTATGGGTTTATTTTGGTGTAAAACATTTTTGAATGTTGTGGATAGTTTTATTATAATATGCATTTTCCATGAATTATTTGAAATTCCCTATTATATGGTGTAAAGTATGGGTTCAAGTTCATTCTTTTGTATGTGGAGATCCAGTTGTACCAGCACCAGCTATTGAAGAGACTTTTTTCCCATTGGTTGAACATGGCACCCTAGTAAAAAATTATTTGGCCATAGATATATGTGTTTATTTCAGGCTTCTTATTTCTGTTGCATTGTCTATGTGTCTGTCCTTATGCTAGTAGCACAGTGTTTTAATCACTGTAGTTTAGTTGAAGGGTTTGATACTGAGAAATGTGAATCTTAATTTGTTCTGCTTCTTCAAGATTATTTTGGCTATTTAGGGCCCCTTGCAGTTTCATATGAATTTGAAGATCAGCTTTTTTCATAAATGCAAAAATGCTATTGGAATATTGAAATCGTGTTGAATCTGTAAATCACTTTGGGTAATATTGACATCCTAACAATATTAAATATTTCCATCCATGAGCACCGGATATCTCTGTTTATTTAGGTTTTCTTTAATTTCTTTCAACAAGATTTTGTAGTTTTCAGTGTGTAAATCTTTTACTTCATTAGTTAAATTTATTTCTAGGTATTCTTTATTGTAAATAAAATTGCTTTCTTAACTTCCTGTGTATTTATCTTATACCCTATAGCTTTGTGAAATTTATTTATTAGCTATTATTTCCTTCTTTTTCATTTTTATTTTTTGAGACAGAATCACTCTGTCACCCAGGCTGGAGTGCAGTGGTATGATCATAGCCTTGAACTCCTGGGTGTTTATGTGATGCTCCTGCCTAAGCCTCCGAAGTAGCTGGGACTTTAGCCACACACCGCCATGCACAGCTAATTAAAAAAAAAAATTCTTTTTTTGTAGAGATGGGGTCTTGCTATGTTTCCCAAGCTGGTCTTGAATTGGCCTCAAGTGATCTTTCTGCCTTGGCCTCCCAACGTGCTGGGATTACAGGCATGAGCCAACACTTCTGGCTCTAGTTGCTTTCTTGTGGAATCCTTCGGATTTTCTTCATATAGGAACATATCATCTGTGAATAGTTTCACTTCACTATCTGTGATAGTATTGCTTCTTCCTTTGTAATTTGGATGACTTTTATTTCTTTTTTGTCTAATTTCTATGGCTAGAATTTCCAGTATAGTGTTGAATAGCAGTGGTGAAATAGGGAATCCTGTGCCTAATCTTACGGGAAAAACTGTCAGTCTTTCATTAAGTATGAGGTTAGTTGTGAGTTTTTCATAAATGTACTTTATGTTTAGGAAGTTTCCTTCCATTCCTAATGTTTTGAGTGTTATCATGAAAGTTGTTGGGGCACTGGTATTCTTAGCCTGTCTTGCCTTGGGTAGAACCCTCCCCTGTGGTTGTGGGCTGGTGAATGAAGAATCTCAAAGTTCTAAGTCGCTCCTGCCCAGGATAGAGCTTCTGTCATGTGGAACTAGAGAGGGGTAAAAAATGTTGGTGGCCTGCCACTCCAGAGCAAATACTGAAGTCTTCACTGGTAAGAAGTAGGGAGAAGGGAGTCTGTGTTTTTGGCTGCACCCACTTGGAGTAGAGCTTGGATCAGGCTGAGCTGGTGGAGCGGAGGGAAAATGGAGGGAGCAGGCTGTGTTTCAAGTGCTAGAGTCTCACTGTTCATAGTGAGATTTGATAGATTTTCTTGAATCATTGTTTCATTTGCTATGTGCTCTTAAGACAATTTTCAGAGACTTAAAACGTTTACTTTAAAAATATTGTTTTACCAGTTATGATGCTTTTGCTGGGGGGAGTACCTGTGGAGTTCCTTACACCACCATTCTAGAACTAATCTCCTTTGGCCATTATTTCTTCCAAATATTTTTCTGCCCCCTTTTCTTGAGGACTACAGTTACACTTATATCAAACAGCTTGAGGATGTGCCACAGCTCACTGATTATCAGTTCTGTTTGTCTTTTTTTCTGTTTAATTTTAGGTAGCTTCTAAACTATTTAAACTTGCTATGTGATGAAGCACTAAATTATTTTTCTGCAGTGTCTAATCACCTGTTAATACCATCTGGCATGTTTTTTCACCTCTGTCTTTTTTTAATCCTTCATCTTCCTCCTTAACACACTTATATCTTCTTCTACCTTTTTGAACATATGGAAATATGGAATATTGATATAATAACTGTTTTAATACTTTTTCTTTACTTTTCTACAAATTCCATTGTCCCTATTACTTCTGGGTCTGATTTTACTGATTTACTTTTCTTTTCTTCATTGGTTGTATTTTACTGCTCCTTTGAATGCCTGGTAATTTTTTATTGTATGCCAGATAGTGTGAAATTTATCACTTTGGGTGCTAGATATGTTTGTTATAATTAACATTGAGTTTTGTTCTGAGATGTAGTGAAGTTACTTGTGAACAATTTGATCCTTATAAGATTTGTTTCTAAGCTTTTCTGGGCAGGTTTAGAACGCTCTTTAGCTTAGGCATAAAATTTCCCTACTACTCACTACATAAAACCCTTGTGAATTTTCTAGCCCCTTGTCCATGTATTACCAGGTTTTTACCCTCTGGTGGAGGTTAAAATGAACTGTTTCTGGCACTGTATGAGGTACAGAGGTTGTTTCCCATACTGCTTTTGGGTGGTTCTTTAGGGACCCTACTTTTGAGAGCCACTGCCATGTAGTATTAATTAACACACAATTAAAAGAGCTATTAAAACTTCCAGCATGCACCTTCCAAGATCCAATAAATAACAGAGGGTTTCAGAGTAAAAATGAACATAATGCTTATAATATAAAATTTTCTTTGAAAACCCATTTCTGACATTTAAAAACCAATGGCAATGTTACTAAAAATAACACTGTCATGAGCTAAATACGCCAACATCTATCATCTTAAGGCTCCTTTAATGTGATGAAATACATTTGGTCCCTTGTTGTTTGAAGAGAGGACTTTATATAGTACCTGTTGTGTACATAGCCCATCTCTCTGATATCCTTAGCAACGGCTATACTGCTGCTCATCTAACTGCTCCAAAGCCTCAGGTAATGGAGTGGAAGATTGTGGAAATAACAAATTATGAAAATATAATAAACTCAGTAATAGAATTTGCATTAATTGGTAACTTGTAGCCCAGTTTCATCATGTAGCACAGGGTCACATTCGAGTGCACTTATTTGATTTGATGATTCTATAAAGATGGGACACAATGTAAGGTAGAAATTATCAACTAAGTTAAGTAAGTTATGTAATTTCAGAGTCGTTTAAAACACTCTGAAATTGTAAAATTATGTGTGCACATGTGCGTTTGTGTATGTGTGCCTGCACATGCTTGTATTTTTATGTGGAGAGTGTCCATAGCTTTTTTCAGATTCCAAAAGCAGTGCATTACCAAAATAATGTTTTAGGCAACCTCAAATGAGTTCAGGCACTCTCCCTTTCTCTCCTTTTCTACTATCTTCCCTATCTTTCTTGTTAACAGTGTTAACAAAGATGATAGCCTATGGCAGTGACAATTATTATGAAGAAGTAGAATTAAAATGTAGATTGTGCAACACGAGAGAGACTCCATATTATATACAGTTTTCAATTTAGAAACTGGGACTGTAGTGTCTACACCCCTTGTAAATAGCCACATAGACGCAAACTGGTTTCTGATTACTTTGGCTGAACTGAGGTTGTCCAAAACTTACAGGTGAATAAAGAGTAGAAACCTTATAAGTTCATGACAAATGAAAGTATTTAAAAATAATGTTCAGTAATAGGTGCACCAGGTGGTTCTGTTAAGATAGTCAGAGTGAAGCAATGGTAGAAATGCATGTCTGAAGTTGTTTCTTGGTTATTATTCAGCTAATAAGGTAGACATAGAAGAGGTAAATTAATTTTACCCTCAACAAAACCATAATTTTTATAGATTGAAAATGCGTAAGTAGAAAATAGAAGGCCTCAAAGTTTAGGGGAAATGACAATCAAGTGGAAAGTGGGTTAAAAATGTTACTGTTTCCCGCCGGGCGCGGTGGCTCACGCCTGTAATCCCAGCACTTTGGGAGGCCGAGGCGGGCGGATCACGAGGTCAGGAGATCGAGACCATCCTGGCTAACACGGTGAAACCCCGTCTCTACTAAAAATACAAAAAATTAGCCGGGCGTGGTAGCGGGCGCCTGTAGTCCCAGCTACTCGGGAGGCTGAGGCAGGAGAATGGCGTGAACCCGGGAGGCGGAGCTTGCAGTGAGCCGAGATCGCGCCACTGCACTCCAGCCTGGGCGACAGAGCGAGACTCCGTCTCAAAAAAAAAAAAAAAAAAAAAAAAAATGTTACTGTTTCCTATCTCATCTTGCTTTATTTCCCCAGTATTCCCCTTTGATCTTTTATATTTTACAGGACCTTCAATATTCAGAATGTGGTAGCCTTGCCACACACACACAGACTTTTTGTGATTCAGAGGTAGCTTCAGATTTGCATTTGTATTGGGTTCGTCTGAACCACATTATTCTAATAAGTGTTTTCTAATTGCCCAGGGTAATTTATGCATAGCATGAAAGTGGATTGGTAAGTATAACCTAATCATAATTTTTGACTAATTATTACTACATTCTTTAATGTTCCAATAACAAAACTTTTGCTTTGCCTGTGTAGTGAATTGTGTTTTATTTTCATTGACCTTCTTATATTCTATATCCAGATTTATTTTAGAGTTTGCCAACATTGTCAGGATCTGGGTCTGAGACTATGCTAATGTGCAAAATTGATATGAGTACTTCAGTTAAAGTTTATGAGAAAATTTTTTTTCAAAACCATAAACATTCAGATTCTTTCTTTCAAAAATGTTTGCTTAAAATGTACTTTTTGTTGTCACAATTATTTTACCCCTCTAGATTTGGAAGTCTAAACACTGACATATTTTGCTACTGTGCAAAAATGAATATTGTAATATTAAAAGAGAAACTAATTGTTCAGTATCATTGCACATAGTGAGAATATTAGATTTGAAAAATATTGCTTATAATGTAAAGAAAATGCACATCAATATATTTGCACATTCCTATATAAGACATTATACATATACTTTTATTTATATCTATAAATTAAAGTTTCCTTTTAGACATTTATGCCTTAAATTTCCTCAGTAACCTTTACTTAAATGAGATTCTTGTACAGAAGTTTCCTCTTTTATGCCTTTCTTAAATCTAGAAAGATATCAGTTGTCATTTTGTCAGAGGCATTTGAACCAGAGCGACTCCATCTTGAATAGGGGCTGGGTGGAAGGAGACTGAGACCTACTGGACTGCATTCCCAGGTGGTTGGCATTCTAAGTCACAGGATGAGTAGGACATCAGCACAAGATACAGGTCACAGAGACCTTACAAAAGAGCATGTGGTAAAGAAGCTGGCCAAATTCCACCAAAACTAAGATGGCAATGAAAGTGACCTGGTCATTCTTGTTATATGCTAATTATAATGATTAGCATGCTAAAAGACACTCCCACCAGTGCCTTGACAGGTTATAAATGCCATGGCAACACCAGGAAGTTACCTTGTATGGCTTAACAAGGGGAGGAATCCTCAGTCCTGGGAATTGCCCACTCCTTTCCTGGAAAGCTTATGAATAATTCACCCCTTGTTTAGCATGTCATCAGGAAATGACCATAAAAGTGGCCAGTCAGCAGCTCTTGGGTCTGCTCTGCCTATGGAGTAGCCATTCTTTTGTTTCTTTACTTCTCTAATAAACTTGCTTTCACTTTATGGATTCACTTTCAATTTTTATTTGTGTGAGATCCAAGACCCCTCTCTTGTGGTCTGGATTGGGGCCCCTTTTCAGTAACATCTTCTTGGTAACCATGAAAGGATGATACTGAGGAGACCCCCGACCCAAAGGAAATATACTGCAACACCAATTGGTGACTTTGGGTAAGTGGGGTGCATTTTACCTGGGTAAAGGGTGGGATTGGGTTAGAGGCCCAATTTAGGGGAGTTAGACTCTCTCCTAAGATGGAGTGGGTTAAAGGACCCTCTTAGGAAAAAGGCAAGCATGCTTAAACCAACTTGTGTTCGAGACCAAACTTACGAAGATTAGTCCTTCCTAAGATTTAGGGGGTTAGAGATCCTGCTCAGGAAAGTCCTTCTCAAATAAAAATGGATTTGGCATTATGGAATGTTAACCACTATTCGCTTTGGATTACTCTGTCTTGCACTCTTTGCTAATGGCTATGGGTGACAGGGTTGGCTATGTACATGATCTTGGGACATGGGAAGCTTTTATCTCCCCAAAAGGGGAAACTTGAGAGCTGATGGGACTGCTGGAAAAGATCCCTTTGCCACTGACAAGTGGCCGCCTGAACTTTTGATTCCATGTCGCTGCAATGGGTAGGTGTTTCTCTGACCTCCCTGAGCTCTTTTCACCTTCCCCACTCTGCCACAGGCAATACTTTTTTCTCTGTCTCTTTCTCTTCTTTCCCTTTCCTATATTTTCTGTTACTCAGGGTGACCATCTTGCCCAAAGACTATATGTTAACTTCTGGTTGTTTGTTGAATTAAAGATGACAGGGCCAATCTGGGGGCAAGTTTGAGCTTTGCCAGTTCGACATTGGGTGCTAAGCAGAGTGGCTGCTGTAGCAAATCTTGTGTACTTTGTGCTATAAATTTGTCTTTCTGTATTACTCTGTCATAAAGAGGAATACCTTAGGATAGAACACAGGCTTAGGCCTCCATAAACCTGCTGTTCAAGACAGTCCAGCAAACTGATCAGTTATCCACTTTGCTGCGGGTCCCTGTTGGGGAAAAATTGGATGAAGTTTCCTTTTACTCTTGTTTTATGTCCTTGGGAGCTTGACCTTGTAGCCACATGGTGGTACTTTCTCTTGGTCTCTGCCATCCAGCAGACAGAAATTTTTGGGTGCCTGTCATAACTAGCTATAAAAATTATCTTGAGCAGTTAACAACCATTGCAAGCTCAAAATTGGCTGCTCTAGGCTCCTTCTGGGAAGGGCAATGGAAACTGCCCAATGCTGTAGCTTAGTAACTAAGGCTTTGTCTTTTCACAATGGTGGCCTGGGTTCAGGGTTCAATACTGGCTTAGGGAATGAGTCCTTTCTCATTTGATATCTGTGTAACCTTTATCATTTGTTGATTATCTTCCCCTCCATGGACCATTTTGAATTTTCCTTTCTCTGAGCACCTGGGAGGTTGCCTTTGGTAAGTTTAAAAGCCAGAAATATTGGCCGTTTGGCCTGGCAAAAGTTGGGTAATAAGAAAATTTTAAAACTTTTTTTTAAAGTGCTATATATAAAAGTCTGCTTATTCAAGTTCTAATAGCCTGGGACTCCTTGGGAAAACAGAAGAGGTGCCACAGTCCCCGTTTTGGGAAAATCCTCTGTTTTCATCATGCAACCCCAGGAATTAAAAGCAAATAGATCCCTCTCAAAATCTAAGACTCTGTTGTATTTTGTGTTGCATTATCTGACATTTTTTACTTTTGGGGGTATCAGAAGTTACTTTACATTATGAGAGAGCTTTGGTGTGTAATAACTAGGTAGGAAATATAGTTTTGGAGATAGCTAATGAAAGTTATGGGGGGATACTCAGCTCCTTGCACGTTTGGATCAAAGTAGTATGCTCTTGGCCACCCAGAAGGTATAGAGATGTTCCCCTGCCCACGAGAGTTAAACCTCCCATGGGGGATGGGCTAATCAAAGAATAGGCTAATTGGCTTTGGATTGATTTGCAAAAAAATACATGATAAAATCATTGCATTGTCTTTTTCTGCAGCATTTCTCTTTTGGGGATCCAGTATAAAAATGGGACCCTTAATTTTTGGGATTTGTTTTTGCCTTCCAGCTGTGCCTGCTTATTAGGCTGTAGAAACTGTAATGCTTTCCTGGCCCTGTTCCTCCAAGGGCTCCACCCAGAAGGTAGTAATCTAATTAAGAAATGGGAAAATGAAAACCCTTACAACTATTGAATCTTCTGTGTATCTGTGTATTTATATGTGATGTGTGTGTAATGTGAAAGAGCATTGACTAATTGGTTTTTTAAGAAAGAGCTTAAATATTTTATCAGAAAAATAAAAAGGCATAAGCCTTTAGTTTACATGACTTTAGTAATTGTTGGGAAATAAAATATTTTACATGCAAGGTGTGTAAGGATAGTGAAATATGTTTTTGGTAAAAGATTATAAAAAGGCATGGGAATGTGGATTTTTCTGCTTAAAGGGTTAAAGGATTATTTTAAGTTAGGTAGGATAAAGCTGAAGGTTTGAGCAAGTTGTGGAAGGTTTGTGAAAAATTAATTTTGTGAAAGAAATTGTGTGTGAACATATTGGCTAAAATTAAAGGGGAATTGTTTAGGTCTTCCATAAAGTGAAGATTGGAATAAAAGCACAACATGTTTTTCTTAGAGCACTGATCTTTTTTTTAACAAAAATTTGTAAAGGGTTGTAAAAGGTTAATGGAAATCTTAACCTTATGGTCAAACATTAAAATTGGGTAGATTTGTCTATCAGGTTTTATTAGAAATTGGGGTTTACATTAATAGTACACTAATGCAAAAGGTGAAATTTGAATTTCTCTCTTGAACAAGATTTTTATATAATATTAAAGGATAATAAAAATTTTTGTTTGCCCTTTGAATAAACTGCAGGAAAAAGAAGGGAAAGAAATGAGACAGGTTGTTTGGAAAGCTAAGTCTTCCCTCTTCATGAGTAAAGGTTTTTGCCTTTTTAAAATTTTTAAGTTATCAATTTTGCTAAATAACAAAATGGAATCCCAGGTTATCATAAGTTATGGTAACCTTGAAAAAACTTTCAAGACTCTCATGGAGAGCTGAAATGTTCATAAATATCAGGCAGAACAGGAGTCAACTGCATGGACTAAACTAAAAGTCTGAAGTAATCTTTTTAAACTTTTTGCTTAAAATGTTTCTGATCATTTGTTTTGTTTTTCAGAGTCAAGGAAAGTTTTTTTGAGCCCTTTACAGCTTTTAACAATTGAATAAAATATACTGTGAACAAAATTTGGAACATATTTGTTTCTCTCTACCTAATTTCTCTAGAATTTGGTAACTATTTGTGAGTATTCTTAATTTATGGAAATATAGTTATTTGCATAAGTGCAATAGGAATGTTTTCTTTTGCAGCAGGACACAATTGGAGAATCTTGTTTTACCAAGGCTTTGACTAGAATGGCATGCTTCTTTTTAAGGAATCAAACTTAACTTGTAGATCCAATAAAAGCCCCTTGGGAAAACTGGCCTCATGCCTTTTCTGCAAAGTCCTTGTTGAGGGTTTCTAACCTGTGGTAAGTAAAGAATGTCACTTTCTGATAGGCTCAGCAGGTTCAAGTTATCTTGGGACTTCAAGAGGAGAGAAATTTACTCAACTCATTGGTATTTGAGGGTACCAACCCACGGCTGGGCTCAGCTTAAAAAAATTCATATCTGAGATTCCTTATGAAACAGTTTCATCAAAGCCAATTTAAAATGCCTACTACATGAAAAAATTATTCTTGCTGCACTTTATACAAATATTCAAGCCAATTATAAGACTAAGGCTTATTTTTGCAAATGAATTGGTCCTATTATAACTTGTCTTTAGTAAAAATGGGAAACTGGAGAGAGAACAATTATGTTTCAAGAACTATGGTATACCTGTTATTAGATTCTAGTCTCATTGGTTGTTTTTGAGTTTTTTTCCTGCAATTTAGACTAACCCTACTTATTCCTGTGAACCAATCTGTAATCTCTGACTGCTGCACAGAAGAAACAAGAGGGATGGGTAGTCAAAAATCTGGATCTATATTCTAATTCTGGGCACATTGGAATCAGTTGGCAACCCCATATCAGCTTGGTTCCAACAGTTGCCCAGTCCATGGAAAACCTTCTTATTTAGTTTAGTTGGGATAGTATTACTTATTTTGCTTTATTGTTGTGGAATATATTGCTGTTGTACCCTTTTGTAGGAATACAGGATAAGCTTACTGTTTTCTTTAAATGGAACACTTTTTAATATTCCAGATATCACCTTGTGTCAGAGTTATAAATGGCCCTCACCATACTGACACTTTCTGACTGAGCTCCTCTCTACTCCAACTACAGGAGACCCTAATAATTAGGCAGGAATGTCATCACCCTTATTCAGCCTGAAAAAGTTACAGAAGATGGATCTTCAACCCTCTACAAACCTTAGGATTAAATGTTCTCTTATAAAAAGGAGGGGAAAGATATGTCAGAGGCATTGGAATCAGAGTGACTCCATCTTGAATATGGGCTGGGTAAAATGAGTCTGAGACCTACTGTGCTGCATTCCCAGGTGGTTAGGAATTCTAAGTCACAGGATGAGTAGGAGGTCAGCACAAGATATAGGTCACAAAGACCTTGCTGATAAAATAGCATGTGGTAAGGAAGCCAGGCAAATCCCACCGAAACCAAGATGGTAATGGAAATGACCTGATTTTCCTCACTGCTCACTATATGCTAGTTATAATGCCTTAGCACTCTAAAAGACACTCTCACCAGCACCATTACAGTTTACAAATGCCATGGCAATGTCAGGAAGTTGCACTATATGGCCTAAAAATGGGAGGAATCCTCAGTTCCTGGAATTGCCCACCCCTTTTTGGAGAACGCATGGATAATCCACCCCTCGTTTAGCATATAATCAGGAAATGACCATAAAAGTGGCCAGCCAGCAGCCCTCTGGGCTCCTCTGCATATGGAGGAGTCATTCTTTTGTTTCTTTACTTCTCTAATAAACTTGCTTTCATTTTATGGATTCACCTCAAATTCTTTCTTGCATGAGATCCAAAACCCTCTTTTGGGGTCTGGGTCCAGACCCCTTTCCAGTAACACTTTGTTTGTAATATGAGCTCTTTGTAACTGATTCACTAGAATAAATGACATGGGATTTTCTACAGAGATATTTGAGGTCTTTACCTAGGACAAAGTAAGTACTTTTTTTAAAAAAAATAAGCTTGGCTGGAATAAAAGATTTTTTTCTGGTTTTGTGTTAAGCCTGACATCTATGGGTTGGGCTTCTTTTAAGTGATTCAAGTTCTCCATTATTAATTGGTCAGAAAGTCAGCAATGACTGTTCCAAACTTCAGTTTTCAATGCTCTGCATTTTGAATGACTTCTGCCTTCCTGGTTGGCTAATTGGGGGCTTTCTCCATTCTGTCTGAAAAAGGACTTTTCCTGCAAATGGTGCATCAATTGAGGGAAACCTTATCTGGGGCTTACCTTAATGAGGGTCTCCTCAAATATTTCTCTGAGGGTAATGTATGAGTTAGGAGTAAGTGGGCTACTGTGTTTCTTTTTTAGTGTGTTTTGTTTATACTTATTTTAACTTTTAAATTCAGAGGTACATGTGTAGGTTTGTTATATAGGTAAACTTGTGTCATGGGAGTTCGTTGTACAGATTATTTCATCACCCAGGTATTAAGCCTAGTACCCATTAGTTATTTTTTCTGGTTCTCTCCCTCCTCCCACCCTTCACCCTCTGATAGGTCCCAGTGTCTGTTGTTCCCCTCTATGTATCTTTTTTCAGGTGACATGCATCTGGAGAATAGTACACATAGCCTTCAGTGTAAGAAAAAGCAAACCAGAGTTCACTTCACCCTTAGGCACATAAGAAAAGTTCTTTCTTTTTCCTTTCATCACAATGGCAGAGTGAAAGGCAAAAGATGTGTGAGGCTGAGTAGAGACTGAATGTGATTAAGTGTCACTAGACTGGTCAGCTTTCTATCTAAAAGCCATTGCAGCTAATTTCCCAATTCATATTCATGTAGGAACATAAGACAGAAATACCGAACACATGGAAGGGGCTGTTCAGAAGGTGAGATGTTACAGAGAAGTCTACATACCACGCATACCAATCAACCTGAGTGAACAAACATCACTATACCCCTATGAAATTAGATGTATAGAAACTTCCTTAGAGTAGTCTGAAACTTTAGGGTTTGTCAACATTGTTTAACAAAGCCACAATTTAGGAAAAAAAACCAACAATTATATGCATATACTTTTAATGAAGGATATAGGAAGATAAAGCTGGCCAGCATTTGTCAATATTTCTGCACCAAGACACATGGTTTTAAGAATACTATATACAATCATTTTGAGCAGATTGGTGGGAAAAATAATTGTAGCAGATTGGCAACCTATGCTTAACTTCTGAGGTCTCCTTTTCTGGCACTCTAATATAGTTCATATATTACCAAGACCCACTGCCAGCTTTCCTTTTATGTTCCTTCACTGATTAAGCCAGCAGAGTGAAAGTAATTATTCCTTGAATGCATCTTATCTAATTTTTTTTTCCTTTAATGCCATTCCCTACTAACAATCTATTTCCTGGTATATTGAATTCATTGTTGGTTTTAACTCATTCTGCTGATGGCTGTGTACCATCCTGCTACAAAGAACACATTTAATGGTTTTGAACACTGTGCAGGACACAGACCTAACCCTTTTAGGGAAGTAAACAGTCATGGGTTGCATGCTACTAGGAGCCACCCATTCATTATTATATAATACCCGCATGCAAAAGGCTACAATTTAATATGGTACATTACAGCTATGGTTAAAGAAATGCAGATGTACCATACCTCATCAACCAATTCCTAACGAGATGGAACTCATTAATTTTCTAAGAATATGGATCTTGTCCAAGGGCCTGACAATCTCATTAGATGCCCCCTGTGCTTCTCCATAGAACGTCTTCTGTACCGAATCTCTTAGCTACTCTGAGAGCAGAGATTCTGGAATGTATAAATCTAATGTTCTTCACATGCTGTGTTTCTTAGACTCTTTTTCTAAAAGGAGAAAACAGATAATCATTCTTTTAAATTAAAGTATTTGCTCCTGCTGAAGAGGCAGCCTGCTTTGGAGAAAATGTGTATGTGTGTGTGTGTGTGTGTGTGTGTGTGTGTACATGTGCATACATGTATGTAGATATGTGTGATGAGAGGTGAAAAGAATAGGCTTTCAATGACTGTTACATTCCTATGAATTTGGGCCCTGTTAAATTAATTTTAGGTTCATGTTACAATAATGTATAATATTCAGTATTCTTAAAACTTACTTGCTAGGATTGTGCTTAAATCTCCATTAACCTCAATGTCTATACTTTGTGCAATTTGGTATAAACATGGAGTGCATTCTTTACCTTGGCAATGTCTGCCCTGAGATTGGGCTCTATGGTGCCACAGGAGGTAATGGCACTGGTTGATGCCACATAGTGTGAAAAATATGTGTCACATGGGGCTAGTAGGGGAAAGAGGCACATATTGCATTCTTATCACATAGAAAGTAAGAGTTGTACAAATTGCATACTTTTCAGATTTTTGACAAAATGTGACTCTTTCAGAATGTGATCCTGTTGTAATTACTCTCAAAATTCTAACTGCTCCATGATAATTCCAGTCCTGGGAAGCCAAGTTACTTTAACAATGTACTGAACATGGTAACTGTGAGCCCTGCATAAGACAGCTGTGTTCCATTGGGGACCACTTAATCTCTTTTCCCCTTAATTTTTCCAGCTGTACCATGGGGAACAATTTTTTTATTCTGTCTCTTTCTGAGGACGCTGTTGGAGTGAATGGAAGAACATTAACAAAGTGCTCTAAGTCCTGCAAGAACAAATCAGCAATGAGAGCATGGACAAAAGAATGGAGTACATTATTTTGCTTAGAAATACTGTATGGTTAAGCTTTTCATTCCAGTCCTATAATTAAAGACATATAAGAGCACTAGAAAGTGACATAGCACCCTTCAGCAGTAGGATCCTAACAATGAGTATCTTCATTTTGCAAACGGAGAAAATGAGTATCAACAATTAGGGAATGAGATTCCACAGAGGTTATTGGACAGGGATCCAAAGAAAAGCAAGCAAAGAAGCCAGATCAGGGTGTGCTAATTATTAAATAAAGTTCTGTATTCTTGATTAATAATCAACCAGTTGGGTACCTATGTACATTAGTCAATACTCAAATGATCCATGGATAGGGATATTATCAGAGTCTATAAACCAATGAGACCAAAATGCTAAGATAGGAATAGGTTTTCTTTTTATCTCTGAGCCCCTGGTAAAACCCTGATTTATTTGGCTTTTTTTTTTTTTTTTTTTTTTTTTGAGACAGAGTTTCACTCTTATTGCCCAGGCCGGAGTGCAATGGCACGATCTCAGCTCACCACAACCTCTACCTCCCAGGTTCAAGCGATTCTCCTGCCTCAGCCTCCTGAGTAGCTGGGATTACAGTCATGCACCAACACTCCTGGCTAATTTTTGTATTTTTAGTAGAGACAGGGTTTCTCCATGTTGGTCAGGCTGGTCTTGAACTCCCGACCTCAGGTGGTCCGGCCGCCTTGGGCTCCCAAAATGTTGGGATTACAGGTGTGAGCCACTGCGCCCAGCCTTATTTGGCCTTTTAAAGACAGTGTAAATCTGTAAGACATTAAACAATCAGCTTTGCATTACATCTTTCCTGAGCTTTACCTCTCCGGAACTTCCTTATAGTTAACTGACACTATATTTTGTGACTTGACTTCTGTGGGAGCTGAGTGCTGATACACCCTATGCATCAAAGAAGTTCTTGATGTTTTTCTGACTTTGAATCACAGTTAACAGCTGCTCTGCCTGAATGCTTGGCAGAAGATGATTGATGGGAAAGAGGAAGATTACTTTGAGGCCTACTTGCTGTGTAGTAAGTAAAGGCCATACATGTAGAAAAAGGTGCATATCTATATGAATAGAAGACAAGGCTTGTCTGTCATAAAACCATGGGAATGGCCAAATAAGGTTTCAGGAAAAACCGAAATGAGAGTATTTTGAGAAAGAGTGTAAGGGGAAATTTTTTTCCATCTGAATATATAAGAAGATTTCATCTTGAAACCCAGTGTGTGCATAGTCATCTAGGCTGCTTTTTAGCTTCTGAGTTTGAGAAAGTCACTAGCCCTAATAAGTGTAGTCATGTCTAGTATTCTCTCAAATGTAATGCTGACCACAATCCATTTAATTTATGCCAAAAGTCTCACCTTGGTCAAAATTACCTAGGGATCCAGATGAACAGGTTTTGTTGTTGCTTTAAGTAGCTGGATTGTTCACTTTCTCAGCTCCACTGGAACCCCAACACTAAATTGTGGCAGGCAACTCTTTTTTACTCAAACATATTTCAGGGAAGATAAATTAGTAAGCCAAACCATCCCTCTAGAAGCTCAATTCCTTGATACCTGTAAGATGCTTCTAAATTCCACTGATCTCTAAAAGAGTTGGAGCTTTTATTGTCAGCAGCTGGGCACTAGACTGCTGGATGAAAAAATGAAAGATATCAATACTCTTAAGATATTATTATTGTAAAGAATCAGTACTAGTATTCTCACTCATTGATTCAGGCACTAGGACTAAAAGAAAGGCTGATTATAAATAAATGGGGAAATTGATGCAAACTGTATTAATGGCTTAGCTACTACTGAAGCTAAAAAAAGAAGAAAGAACTGGCATATTACTATTTGGTTATCACTGTCTGTACAATAGCCCCTGCTATGAAAACACAGCTCTTTAGTGCTAATCCTCAGGCTAATGTCAGCTGTGAAACTTTACCCTTATGAAAGGCAGTGAAATTAAACCTGAAAATCACTCTGAAAACCCTTAACAAAACCTATGGGCCATAACTTAGGCTTATAGATTTTCTTTCATCATAAAATAACTCATAAAGGCTAAAATAAAACTAGGAAGCAGATAAATGAATAAAAGTAATTGGAGAATTTTACTGCACCCTGACAAAAAAGTCTTTAAAAAACACTGGTTATTATGTTCAATAAAGTTTATGTCCTGAATTTGATCTTCTTGAGTAGCTGTGGTGCTTTCAGGAACATTTGTGACAGAACAGGTTTTACATTGTTGTTCAAATTCCAATTTGAGGACCTTGGTCACAGTGTACTGATTCACCCTCCCAAATTTTAGATACTTGATATAGCGATGATTCAAAGTCTAGCAAATATTTAAGTTGCTATTTAGAGGAAAAGCATAATTAAACAAAGGCTTCAGGTTTTTAGCCCTGATTTTCACACTATAGCAGAATTTTGTATAGATATGCTGTACGTGTTCACAAATGCACACGCACACAAGCAGCAAATGTAGTTTGATTCCCTTCAACACCAAAAAGGCCCTATATATGTGATTAATAATCTTTGTGGGGGAATTAAAGACTCTAAGGAAATTTTCTGAATTTCCTTTTACCTGATAAGATGAATGAAAAGATATATTTTACATTTAGGCTTTCATGGATTGGGGGAGGGGAAATGAAGAAACAAAAAAAATTGGCTTGAATTAACTGCTACCAAATTCCAAATTGGATTTCAGTCAGTAAATTAAATAACATAAAGTCCAGAAACATTTACACAGCAAGTATTTGATGGAATTCTTTCAAATTTTGAAGCTTTCAATCCAACACGGTGACTTATTTTGAAGATTACAATGATTTCCAACATTGAACTCTGTAAGCCTCATGGGAGGCAGAGATGGTGAGTCCTGGGAATGAAGAGAAGAAATTCACAGATGAGCTGAACAACTGTAAATATTCATGTGGTAACACCCACTTGACAATAATATGCAACCATTAAAATTACATTTATGAAGAGTATAGATCAGCACTGAAAAATGTTAAGTGAAAAAGGCAGGATATAAAATTATATATACAATGCTATATTTTTGACCCCCAAAATTACATTTGGAATAAGAGACTGAGGAAATACACTGAACTATTGAAAGTGGTGGATTCATGGGTAATTTGTTTTCATTTCTCTACCTTCTACTTGCATTTTCCACATTTTCTTTAGTAAATATATAATTTGATACTTCAAAAATACTATTTTTGAAATCCACATGGAAATAACAAGAGCTTTGAAATTGGGCAATTATGAAGCTGAATTCTAGCTTTGCCTCTTATCTCCATAACTCTAGAAAAATAATGTCAATGGATCCTAGTTTACTCATCTGTAAAACTGGTATAATATAATCTTCCTGAAACAATATCTGGCATATAGTAGGCCCTCAAGTAGCTATTTGTTTAAGCTTTCCGGAAAATGATTTGGCCTTATCCATTGACCCTTTAAAAAATTCATACCAGTAATTTTGCTTCCAGGATTCTATCCTATGGAAATGATTATAAATGAGGAGAAAGATTTATGTTTAGTGATATTATTCACAACATTATGATGATGGAAAATTGGATAACATATCTTATTAAATTTATTTTTATTTTTAATTTTTATGGGTACATAGTAGGTATATATATATTTATGTATTACATGAGATATTTTGATACATGCATGCAATGCATAATCATCACATTTTGGTAAATGAGGTATCCATCACCTCAAGCATTTATCCTTTGTGTTACCAACAATCCAGTTATACTTTTATAGTTATTTTAAAATGTACAATTAAATTATTTTTGACTATAGTTACCCTGTTGCCCTAGCAAATACTAGGTCTTATTCATTCTTTCTGTTTTTTTTTTTTTTTTTTTTTTGTAGCCATTAACAATCCCCAATTCCCCTCCAGCACTCACCCCTCCACTACCCTTCCCAGCCTCTGGTAATCATCATTCTACTCTCTAACTCCATGAGTTCAATTGTTTTAATTTTTAGCTTCCACAGATAAGTGGACATAGATGAAGCTGGAAACCATCATTCTCAGCAAACTAACACAGGAACAGAAAACCAAACACCACATGTTCTCACTCATAAGTGGGAGTTGAACAATGAGAACACATGGACACAGGGAGGGGAACATCACACACCGGGGCCTGTCGGGGGCTGGAGGGCTAGGTTTGGGATAGCATTAGGAGAAATACCTAATGTAGATATACCACGGGTTGATGGGTGCAGCAAACCACCATGGCACATGTATACCTATGTATCAAACCTGCACGTTCTGCACATGTGTCCCAGAAGTTAAAGTATAATTTAAAAAAAAGGGAACCTCCTTAATCTGATAAAGCTATCTAGAAAGAATGAGAGAGTGAGCATCTACCACACACAGGGACAGGATAGAAAAATGGTTCATTAAAAAAAAAATTCTATGCCTACCATATGACTTAGCCATCCTACTCCTTGGTACTTACCCAAGCACAGGTTCACACAAAGTCTTGGTCACAAATGTTTATAGCAGCTTTATGTGTATGAGCAAAAAACTAGAAACACTTCTGATATCCATTAATAGATGGAAAAGTAAATTTTAGTGTGTGTGTGTGTGTGTGTGTGTGTGTGTATATATATATAATATATGTATATATCCAGTGGAATACTACTCATCAATAAAAAGAAATCAATTATCCTTACACACAGCAACAAAGGTGAATCTCAATTATGTTGAGTGGAAGAAGCCAGACAAAACAAAAAAATACATTTGTACAGATCTACTTGTTTAAAATTCTAGAAAATGAAAACTGATAGTAACGAAATAAATCAGTGTTTGCCTGGTGATGGCGCAGGGGTTATTTATAAAAGTGCAGAAGAAAACCTTTGGGAGAGATGGATATATTCATTATTTTGATTGCAGCGATGGTTTCACAGATGTAAACGTATTTCAAAACTCACCAGATTGTATATTATAAAAGTATATAGTTTTTTTGTAGTATAAAGGCACAAAAATGCAGAATAAAATTAAAGTGCTAGTTTCTTTGAATTAAAAAAGTATGAGATTTTAATGTTTTTATACGTGTTTCCAAGTTGCACTCAAAAAATGATCTATGAATTTAAACTCACATCAGCATTGTATAAGAACATCTGTTTCAGCATGTCCTTGCCTACAATAGGTACTGTAATTTGTAAAAATTGGCTGACTTAATAGATAAAAATTAGTATTTTAGGTTATTTTAATTTGCATTTCTTTACAGTGAAGTTGAACAAGTTTAATGTTTATTTTTCATTTTAATTTCTATTTTGTTGATTGTTTGCATCCTTTGCCCATTTACTTTTTACAAAATTTGAAAATAATTTCATCTTTTATTTTAGATTCGGGGTACATGTGCAGGTTCGTTAGGTGGTATATTGTGTGATGCTGAGGTTTGGGGTATAGATCCCATCACCTAGGTAGTGAGCATAGTACCCAATAGGTAGTTTTTCAACCCACCCCCTTCTGTCCTTCCCCAACTAGTAGTCCACAGTGTCTATTGTTGCCATCTTTGTTTCCATGGGTACTCAATGTTTAGCTCCCATTTATGAATGAGAACATGCATTATTTGGTTTCCTGTTTCTGTGTTAATTTTCTTAGGATTATGGCCTCCAGCTGCATCCATGTTGCAGAAAAGGATAAGATTTCATTATTTTTTATGGCTGTGTAGTATCCATCATATACATGTACCACATTTTCTTTGTCTAGTCCTCTGTTGATGGACACCTAGGTTGATTGCATGTCTTTGCTGCTGTGAATAGTGCTGTGATGAACATATATGTACATAAGTCTTTTTGTTAGAAGGATTTATTTTCCTTGGGTATATATACCCAGTAATGGGGTTGCTGGGTGGCATGGCAGTTCTAAGTGTTTTTGAGAAATCTTGAAACTGCTTTCCACGGTGGATGGACTAATTTACATTCCCATCAACAGTGTATAAGCATACCCTTTTCTCTGGAGCTTCACTAGCATCTGTTATTTTTTGACTTTTTAATAATAGCCATTCTGACTGGTGTGAGATAGTACCTCATTGCGGTTTGGATTTGCATTTCTCTGATGATTAGTGATGATGAGCATTTTTTTTCATATGTTTGTTGGCTGCTTGTATGTCTTCATTTGAGAAACGTCTGTTCATCATGTCCTTTGCCCATTTTTAATGGGGTTGTTTTTTTTTTTTTGCTTGTTAAGTTCCCTATAGATTCTGGATATTAAACTTTTGTCAGATGCATTGTTTGCAAATATTTTCTTCCATTCTGTAGATTGTTTTTGCTACTGATAATTTCTTTTGCTGTGCAGAAGCTCTTTAGTTTAATTAGATCCCACTTGTCAATTTTTGTTTCTGTTGCAATTGCTTTTGGGGACTTGGCCAAAAATTCTTTGCCAAGGCCAATGTTGAGAAGGGTATTTCCTAGGGTTGCTTCTAGGATTTTTATAGTTTGAAGTCTTACATTTAAGTCTTTAATCCATCTTGAGTTAATGTTTGCATATGGAGAAAAGTAAGGGTCCAGTTTCAGTCTTCTGCATATGGCTAGCCAGTTATCCCAGCACCATTAATTGAATAGAGAGTTCTTTCCTCATTGCTTTCTTTTGTTGCTTTGCCCATTTTCTAACTGTTGTGTTTTTCTTTTGTTTACTGATTTGCAAGAGCTTTGTAAATTAAGCATATTAAATTTTGTGTGTTGTATAGTTTGCAAATATTTTTCAAGTTTGTCTTTTCATTTTGAAGAAAATATAATCTAGAATAAGTACATTTTTGGGGTAAAAATTATGGCAATAATTTTTTATATACAAAATTTAGAGGCAAAATGAAAAAATTAGCATTGATTCTACATTTTAAACACAAGGGATTCATGTTTTCTTTCATCCTTTTTTATTTAAAAAACTTCAAAAGAAAATGAAGGGAAATATATATTAAATATCTAATTACTTGGACATATATAATGTATTAATGCATTCTTCTACTGATAGACATTCAGGTTGTTTTCAGTTTGGAGCTTTTTACAAATATCACTGTAGTAATTATCTACATACAGTTTAAACAATTCTTCATATCTTAATAAGTTTTAAAAGGTTTCTCCCACTCTTCCCTCCTGTGTTCCCAAGTACTTTTCTATTATTATCAGAATATGAGGCCCGGCACGGTGGCTAATCCCAACACTTTGGGAGGCCGAGGTGGGCAGATCACTTGAGGTCAGGAGTTAGACACCAGCCTGGCCAACAGGGAGAAACCCCATCTCTACCAAAAATACAAAAAGCAGCCGGGCGTGGTGGCACACACCTGTAATCCCAGCTACTTGGGTTCTGAGGCAGAAGAATCACTTGAACCTGGGAGGTGGAGGTTGCAGTGAGCCGAGATCACTCCACTGCACTCCAACCTGGGCAACAGAGTGAGACTCCATCTCAAAAAAAAAATATATATATATGTATATATGAGTTTGTGATTTCCACAAAATGAATCACTTTATTAATATATTTGGACAGAGTGCCCTGTAAAAGGCATAAGGCATTGCTTGAAGGCAATTTTGCTTATCTAGGGAAGTATATAAAAAATGCATTTCAAAGTTCCTTAGCATATTAATGGTCCTGATAAGTATTGCACGAAATACTAGGTTCCATGATAGGCACAAAAAAGAAAGGATCCAACAGTTAAATAAAATTTAAGGGACCACTACAACCTCCTTTTGGTGAGCCACAAAACTCAATAGTGTAGTAAAACCCCTGAGAATTCCTACACTAAAGCCAACTTTCTAATTTTGCTTATATAGGGTTTTATAAATTTATTTACCAGATAATTTTTCTTCCCTTTAACATCTGTTACCATGCCAAAGTAGTAGTGTTTCCCCTAGGAAAATACTAAAATAAAATAGACAGATTAGCACCACAGATAACCCAAATCTAGATATTACTATCATATAAGTTGTCTTACCTAAACATCAAACATTTCATCAGGGCTTTGGATAAGGAAACAGACTTGGTTCTCTCCTTTTTTAATCTTTGATAATAAATAAAGACACATCACAAATAACTCAGATTTTGAAATGTAGTGCCATGGTGGAAATAGCATGCTTTGAGGTCAGATAGACCTGAGTTACAACCCTAGGTTGGCCACTTACTACATATGCAGACTTGGATAAGTGATTTAACCTCTCTGCATATCAGTTTTCTCATAAGTAAAATGGGAATAGTAACATTCATCTTACAGTTGATGTGAGGATTAAATAAGATCATATATATCAAGTACACACCAAAGTGGCTGGCATATACAAAGTTTTATACAATATGTACACTTGTACACAGCAGAATTTCTGTAAGGGAAAGAACTGAAGACCTGGGAACCCACGAACAGATTGTAAGCTTCTGAATAATTGCTAGCTTTTTTCATGAGAATAGGATTAGAAGTTTCATCCGATCAGAGCTATAAGCTCTATGGTATTTCTATTACTAACATTCTTTTAATATTTAATTACACTGGGTTTATACCTGTGAGTGTTGCAAAAAGAAGGTCGTCGAGCTTTTCACCAGGCCAAAGAGAATCCCATGTGTAAAGTTGTCTGCCACTACTTAACAAACTCATAGCATTTTAGGAGGGTTACAGTGTAGGAAGGATGCTTTTTTGCCCTTAGTGGGGAAGACTAGGTTATTAACTGACATAATGGAGTCAGGCAAAAGAAAGCTATTTGTAATCTGTACCATTTCAGAGACCTGGAATGAAACAGGAGGAGGCTTATAATTCACAGTATGAGAGTAAATAACCTTAACGGAATGTTTGGGTGTCTGGATCCCCGGAGTTTTTTTCAGCACAAGTGACATAAGTGTGAGTTTGCAGGGAATAAGGGCATCTTTTTTTTCAGCACACTGCCAAGGGAAATTATGTATAGAACTTCTGCTTATGCATGCATTACAAGAGTGAAGAATTTAAAATCTTTTTCACCCAGGATAAGAACTTATTTCTTTTCTAGTTCTTCTCCCAAGCCGCCTTCTTAGCAGTCCAGGTGCCACTGTATGTGTCTCCCTCAGAATACTGACCTGTCTGAGAGATGCAGGAAATGTGAAAACTGCTATGTTTCCGTTTCCACAGCAAGAGATGATGAGCCTTCTGGATAATCTGCAAGGTTGAAACGTGAAGATGATCAAATGTCCCCGTGCCTTATATGGGTGGGTATTCATTCACTGGCAGTTTTCCTTCTTGTTCAATCTCTGCAGGCAACAGATACCTGCAAACCTCTAAAGACTGATGTGTAACACAGAAGCATTTGTAACCAGACATTCACATTCTAAGAATAGTCAGCCTGCTATACTATGAACTAAGATTATTTATCAGCATTATCTGATCTATAATACTGGCTGGTATTTGACTTAAATAGCTATGATGACAGCTCAACATAATCTGACTTTAATGGAATGTTTTGCATCTTGCTACCCACAAAATTACCCTGTTTTGCTGTTATTCCACCGGACATAATTGAGTTAGCTATTACAGTACTTTAGGTGATGGTGTGTTTCTAAAAAAGGAATGAGGTATCTAGAAAATAAGAGGCTTTGGGATTAACAAGCAACATCATTTATGGTACAAATGTTTTTGTTTCTGACCTCCAGCCTTTTGGGAGAGCACACTCTGAATCAGCTTGCTGAATGTACAGGTAATCACTTTTCTCATACTCACAGCATAATAATATACTTGGCATTTTGAGATTAAAAAGTTGACAGTAGCCATCCCCTACAGTTTCTGCACAGCACAGTGTCTTTTATGTGCCATTCAGAGTGCTTTCTTAAGTGTGAAATCTAGATTCCTAAAGACAGAGGCCAGCCAGTCAGTGTGAGTTATCCTTGCCACAGAAGGCTGCAAGCTCTCATGCCACTGAGTTAAACAGGCAGATTCCAGACAGCAGGTTGCTTTCTTCCAGGAAAACTGGAAAAATAAAAGTGGCTCTGAGAATGTCTCTTTGGAATCATGACCCTATGGTAGGCCCAACATTCTGTCTTGTCTGGAATCCTAGCCTTAGGGTATTCTTCCCTTTAAGTTTGGGCAGAAAGCAAATGTATTGGCCTAGGTCTTCAGTGAAAGATACACAGAAAATAACTTTATGTTTATCAAATAAAGAGAAAAAGAGGTTGCAAGTGCTTAAGCATATATCTCATCTTGCCTACCCAACATTTCTACTAAGAAGGCAACTGAAAAATAGTGAAAGACAGTTCTGAAAGTGCAATAAATTTCCTTGCCTTGCTGTTCCAAAGAAGTGATGCTAATTCTTTCAATGTTCACTCCTTGCTGATGGTTGGCTATTTCAGAATTTTTAGGTGTGGTTTGGTGATGAACCTTTCCAAAAGTTGGCTGTTTGGATTCTGCTTTTAGGATGCTTTTACCTTTTCGTACTGCAACATACACTCTTATTTGGCACAGAAAATTTTTCCTCCAAGCAATTATTTGAATTAAAATCCTGCTCTTGTAGACACTGAGGCTTGAGCTGAAAACCCAATTATCAACTTTGGTTTCACTCCCAGGATAAGATTAAGCTAAGGTTGCAAAGGTAGCTCACCGGGTGAGGACTAAATTAAAAAAGGAAGATACCTAAAAAAAATCAGGCTCTGGGTAATAGAAGACAAACACAGAATTTAGGGAGTCAATTCACCTTCACCTCCTACCATCTGCACCTATACTCCTTCCCCCAACTACACCTGCCCTTGCTGCCTATGTAGTAGTGATTTCACTTACTCAATATATGTCTACTTGAACCAAGAATGATGTTATTTTAGTCTTAGTGTGTGCTGGTTAAGCTCTGGCTCTCTTCCTGTCTTCTCCTAGATCTCCTTTACTTTAAAATTCTAGGTTCTCACATAAACCCTTGATGCTATGTGAAGTGACTTTGGCAGTATAGGTACACTTCTTTCTAGCCATTGGTTCTCAGAGATTGGGAAGAACAGAGCAAATGACACAGTGGAGTCTGGGAAAACTTAGGTTGAGTCACCACTGCTTTATGACTTTATATAAGTCGCATTACCTCCCCAGCCTCAGCTTTTTCATCTGTAAAATAGGGGCAATACTCTTTCATTCATAGTATTTTTGGGATACTCTACCCCAAACTATGAGCATTGTGTAATGTTCTATTCTTGACCCTCTGGCTTTCTCTTCCTCATTTATTTCCTTGTCCATGTGGATGCATGTCAACACTGCTTAGGTGATTACTAGTTTTACATTTTATCTTTCTTCCCTAGTTTTATTCTCTCCTTATTGATTCTTCTTTACCTCCAAGGATTTAACTGCCATCTCTATACAAATGACTCCCAGATCTCTCTAGTTAGTGGGACTATTTCCAGATACTTAAAATGTCTCTTGGGTTTGATCATTCCTCTCAATTTATAGTGTTACTACCACTCATGAATCCATTGCAACACATGCACAGTTTTTTGCTGTTCTTTCCAGTTCTTGTCTCTCCAAATTTCAATCCATCCTGCATACTAGCACCCAAGTAATCTTTCTAAAATTAACCTTTCCTTATATCAATATATCACTCAAGATCATAAACTTAATAGCTATTTTCTATGTTATCAAGTCTATAAAACCCTCTATCATCTGGCCGTATCTTACCTCTCTAAGACTGTAGCCCACAACCACAATGTCCACCCTATGCTTCAGTGTTCTTACCACATTCATGTTGTAACTCTGACCTGGAATGCTAATTCCTTCTTCTAGCATCTATCCTGATGTTTCCCATCCTAATAACACCTAGCTTAAGTCCTGCCTCATCTTCAAAACTTTCACCAGAATAGCCCACTTTCCTGGAATGCTAATTCCTTCTTCCTCGCATCTATCCTTATGTTTCTCATTCCAATAACATCTAGCTTAAGTCTTGCCTCATCCTCAAAACTCTCACCAGAATAGCCCACTTCCCCCCTTTACTGATATACTCAGGTTTAAACATCACTAACAATCACACAATTCCCACATGTATCACACATTGCTTAATGCAGAGCTAAGCCTATATTAGGTATGTAATTAGTAGCACCATTTTTATGGCAATGAGCACACCAAGTCTTGTGTTAGATTGTCTTTCCCTGCAACTGCAAACTCCTTGAGGACAGAGGCCACCATTTATTTACCTCTATGTCCCTCCACAGGACCTTTTGATATGTACCTTCAGGAAATGCTTTATGAATTGAACTGATTGATTAGAGACTTGCGTTATTTCAGGAACACACACCAATTTAGAGCTTAGGGTTTGACAACAAAGGTAAAGGAATAAAATGAACATCCATGATATTACTGCATGAAGTAAGTTTTCCAAGAGCTGAGAGTATGGATACATTCTTATCTAGAAACATGGGGGAAAAGTTACTTGGAAAATGTCTCGCTACCCAAAGGAGTACCCTTCTATAACCCAGTGTATTGTGTTTGATGTTTTCAGAAATGAGGCCTAGGATTCCTACTCTCATAAAAAGGCAAATGACAAGTGTATGAACAGGTTGTTTATAGGCATGTGGCCAAAATGTTAGGGCAGATGTGTTAAGAGGGAACAAGTAAGTGTATATCGAGAGAATACACGAAGAAAGAAATTTGGTTCTATAATGTGGAAGATGAATCAATTTGCATGTTTACAGTGGCCTCTAGATTATAATAGCATTCCTTCTGAAAAAGTAAAGGAGCCATTTGGTGAAAGATATCAGGTTGAGCTTGGAGCCATTTGGTGAAAGATATCAGGTTGAGGTTAGTCAGCTTGACATCTGTCCCATCAGTGTAAGGTGGTATCAAAATGTGATATTATAATTGAAGATAGCTTAAAGATCATGGAATTTAAACAGGTCCAGAGAGAAGAGGCTTTCCAAAAGTCATGCATTGAACTTAGTGGCAGAGGTGGGAGATGCTTCCCATGCTAGAGCTCTATCCATATTTTTACACCTTCTCTTTCTGGTGAAAGAGGTACAGGAACTAAAATAATTTTCTTTCAAGTGGTCCTTAAAAGATCTATAAACTGAAAGGTAAACAGGAACAAAGGAGAGATACTGGGTGGTATAGTTGTTAAAAGAGTTTGGACTTTTGAGCCAGGATCTGTCACTTGCTAGCTGTGTGACTTTGGGTTTCTTTGAGCTTAAGTTTCCTCATCTACAAAATGGGGTTATTTAATGTTTACAACTCACAAAGTGGTTATACCTGGCACATAATTGGCATTCAACAAATGTTAGTTGCACACTTTGAAATAATCTAACAATCATTTTCTATATGCAACCTTATTTTCCAACAGTTGCAGAGAATACTGAAATAAAGATGATGTTTCTGACTCCAGTGAGTTCCCATCTAGTCCCCAAATTCTTTACTTGAGCCAGGCTACTTTCTTCATGTCCTCTTCACTTAGCTTGGGGTCTTGTGCACTACAACCTGTGACTTTCCTTATACCTTCTGCTTCTGCACTGCTCTCTGACAATACAGATCCTATCTAGTCTTCAAGGCCCAAATTCTCCCTCCTCTGTGAAGCCTTTTCTGACCAAATCAACTCACGGGAAATCATTGTATCCTTTGAATTCTGATAGCACAAACTTTATAGTTCTATTCATTTGACCAATAACATATCCTGTATTGTGTTTTGTTAGGCAGCTTTCCACGTATGTATTTTATCACCCCCACTACCCCAAATTTAAGAAATGTTAGGTTTTTTTTTTTTTTTTTTTTTGAGATGGAGTCTCACTCTGTCACCCAGGCTGGAGTGCAGTGTTGCAATCTCGGCTCACTGCAAGCTCCGCCTCCCGAGTTCATGCCATTCTCCTGCCTCACCCTCCCGAGTAGCTGGGACTACAGGCATCCCCCACCACACCCAGCTAATTTTTTTTTTGTATTTTTAGTAGAGATGGGGTTTCACTGTGTTAACCAGGATGGTCTTGATCTCCTGGCCTCGTGATCTGCCCGCCTCGGCCTCCCAAAGTGTTGGGATTACAGGCGTGAACCACCGCACCCGGCCAGAAATGTTAGTTTTTCCCTATTCTCTCTCCTTTTTCCTATTATATACTTGGTCAACCAGACAGCCATCCTACCCCAGAATGGTAATGCCTCTTCATTCCTCATATGAGGGAATAAAAGAGAAAAAAGCTTTTGGAAAACATCCACTTATCTAATCATCCCAAATATGTAATCAAAAGTATACAACTCATGTGAAGAATACACTGGTAAAATGTTAGTATAGGCCAAGGTATCTTGAATTCCTATATAGAAAGCTGGTAAATGCCCTTTTGGCTGGAACCGCCATCTTCCAGTAATTCGCCAAAATGACGAACACAAAGGGAAAGAGGAGAGGCACCCAATATATGTTCTCTAGGCCTTTTAGAAAACATGGAGTTGTTCCTTTGGCCACGTATATGCAAATCTATAAGAAAGGTGATATTGTAGACATCAAGGGAATGGGTACTGTTCAAAAAGGAATGCCCCACAAGTGTTACCATGGCAAAACTGGAAGAGTCTACAATGTTACCCAGCATACTGTTGGCATTGTTGTAAACAAACAAGTTAAGGGCAAGATTCTTGCCAAGAGAATTAATGTGCGTATTGAGCACATTAAGCACTCTAAGAGCCGAGATAGCTTCCTGAAACGCATGAATGAAAATGATCAGAGAAAGAAATAAGCCAAAGAGAAAGGTACCTGTGTTCAACTAAAGTGCCAGCCTGCTCCACCCAGAGAAGCACACTTTGTGAGAACCAATGGGAAGGAGCCTGAGCTGCTGGAACCTATTCTCTATGAATTTATGGCATAATAGGTGTTAAAAAATAAATAAAAGACATCTGGGCTGTAAAAAAAAAGATGGTAAATAATTGACTAAGATTAAAGACTCTTCCATCATTGGCACTATCTACTATCGCCAATATGCATGGAAATACATAAGGGCAATTTGGTACCCTTGAAGAAGTACTTTCTTTGAGGTAGAAGGCATGAATTTAACTTATGACTCTGTCTAAGTCCTGTGGCAGTTTTGAAATTCCTAGGAATAATCGTACAGGTCTGGTTAGGTCTGAAGAACTAAGTGATAAAGTAATTTTTTCTTCAAGCAAGAGTTAATCATTGTCTCTGACTGGGAGGTGATTGCACAGAATGTCACCCACAGATGCTTCTAAACAACAAAATTTTTGATGTGAAAGGCCTCTCATCTCTGAACCAGAGCTCTTGTATATAGGATGTACTTGGAGAGTCTGAATTCTGATGAGGAGAAGGGCTCTCACCAATCCTCTCAGAAGGTCCAGGGATTACAGCAATCTCTGGCATAGGATGAAAGTGTGCTTTGATAGGAGAATCACTTCCTCATCTTCCTGAAACATTTCCTTCACATCATGCCCCAGCTCAAAAACCTTCAGTAGTTCCCCATCACTCACAGAATAAACTTATTAGTCTTACGTCTAAGGTCCCACCCAAACTGATACCAATTTACCTGCTGAATTAATCTAATAATCATTTTCTACATGTAACCCTGTTTTGAAAGAGGTGCAGAGAATACTGAAATAAAGATGATGAGTTCTCTTATTTTAATGAGTTCCCATCTATTCCCTTACTGCCCAAAATTTCTACTGGAGTCAGGCTACTTTCTTCATGTCCCCCTCACTTAGCTTGGGGTGTTGCGCATTACAACCTGTGACTTTCCTTTTACCTTTGGCCTCTGCATTCCTTGCCACCAATCTAGATCCTATCTAATCTTCAAGGTCCAAATTCTACTTATCTAAAGCCTTTTCTGACCACCCTGGCCCACAGCAAATCACCTTTCCTTTGAATTCTTATAGCACAAATTTTATGGTTTTAATCATTTGGCAAATAATGTATCCTGTATTGTGTTCTGTTAGGGAACTTTATGTATCTTATCTCCCCAAATAAATAAAATACCCTTGAGCTGAGACAATATATTGTATTGCCTGAACACCCCTTCTGGGTCCAATCTCATAACTTTAATATTCTCTCAATAAATATTAGTTTATTTTTTCTGTTATTCTTTCTAACAGGTTATTTGTCATGGCAGCATAAAGTACCAGATTGAAAATAAATCAGAAATTTCTTCTACTGTGGGCAGTATTAATGGGTGTCATATAAAGAAAGTTTTATCCAAATAACAAAAGAGGAAATAGGCCACAATATATAAAACATTGAATATACTAGAGTCTGATGTCAGTATTTTTTCAGGACAAGTGTTCAGCATTTCACAGGAAGGAGATTAATTCCCCCCAGTCCTGATTATCATTAACACTGGAAGGTTGTATTAGCACACTCAAGAAAATTTTTATTTTTGTATTATACCTTTACTTGATAAAAATATGCCTTCTAGGATATATTCTATAAAAATTATCAAAATAAAGAGGCAATTTATCACATTAGCTCAAGGGAAAAGCCGCTGTTTAGTTCAGAAAAGTTCAGTTCTTTTATTGCTAGATTTTTTTTTGAGACAGGGTCTCACGCTGTTGCCCAGGCTGGAGTGCAGTTGTGTGGTCAGTTTACTCCAGCCTTGACCTCCTGGGCTCAAGCGATCCTCCCACCTCTCAGCCTCCTGAGTAGCTGGGACTACAGATGCACACCACGACACCCAGTTAATTTTTGTAGTTTTTCATAGAGAAGAGGTTTCACTATGTTGCCCAGGCTGGTCTCAAACTTCTGGGCTCAAGCAGTCTGCCAGCCTCAGTCTCCCACAGTGCTGGGATTACAGGCATGAGCCACTGCACCTGGCCAGCTGGATTCTTTTTAAATTATTTTTCTTGTCATGGTTACTATACTGATAGAGAGTAACTGGAATAAGCTATGCATAATTATCATGTACCCCGGGGCTTGATTGTGACCTGGAGCTCTCTACTGGATTTTCAAACCAGGCTGAAAGAAGAGCTCAGTGAGGAGAGAAACTGATTTTACCTTCCTTACTAGGAAATAAAGGAACTACACCTAATGGATAGAGGTCATATAATTAAAACTGACAGTTCCTCTTTGGAAGTTTCCACATTTTGGATGGGCAGTGCTCCCATTGTTTACTAGATCCTAGGAAAAACAGAGCTTAAGGCACCATCTACTACTGAAAAGAAGACAGTGACCTAGTGAGGAAAAAAACTGAAATCCAACAGGCAAATTACAAATAATCTCTAAGCAAACATAATGAATAAAAACCAAAACAAGACAGACAGAGAAGACTGGAATAAATAACTAATTCTTCAATGCAAAAACAGACATGCATCCACAAGAAGTAATACTGAACAGGGAACCATAACCTTCCCAAATGGACAAATCAAGGAACCAGTGACTGACCCTAATGAGACAGCAATATTTGAGCCCTCTGATCAGCAATTCAAAATGGCAATATTATGGAAACTCAGTGATTTCCAAGACAACACAGAGAAGCAATTCAGAAATTTATCAGAAATAGTTAATAAAAAATTTAAATAGAAAAAATCAGACAGAAATCATGAAACTTAGAAATACATTTGCTAATCTGAAAAAAATCATTAGAGGCTCTCAATAACAAAATGGAGCTGAAGAAAGAATCAGTGAGCTCAAAGAAAACCTTTTTGAAAATAAAGGAGAGAAAAAGAATGAAAAGGAAAAGAGATCACCTACAAGATACAGAAAACTGCCTCAAAACATCAAACGTAAGAATTATTTGTGTACAAGAGGGAGTTGAGCAAGAGCAAGGGGATCGAAAGCATAATTCAATAAATAATAACAAAAACTTTCCAAAACTTGAGAAAGATAAATATCCAGGTATAAGAAGGTCAGAGCACACCAAAAGATTCAACCAAAATCGTCTACCTCAAAGGCACATAATAGTCAAACTACCCCAAGGCATATAATAGTCAAACTCTCAAAGGTCAAGGTCAAAGAGAAGATCCTAAATACAGCAAGAGAAAAGATGTGCATAACATATAAAGGAGCTTCAATTTATTTGGCAACAGACTTCTCAATGGAAACCACACAGGCCAGGAGGGAGTAGGATGACATTTTCAAACTACTGAGGGGCAGGGAGCAGGAAGCTGTCATCCAAGAATACTGTATCCAGCAAAGTTATCCTTCAAAAATAAAGCAGAGATAAAGTCTTTCCCGGATAAACAAAAGCTGAGAGAATTAACCATCACCAGACCAATCTTACAAGAAATGGTAAAGGAGCTCTTCAATTTGAAAGAATGCAAAAAGAAAACATTTGAAGGTATACAATCCACTGGCAAAATTAAGTACATGGACAAACCCAGAGTGCTCTACTACTTTAATTGTGTAATCAACTCAAAACTCTAGTATGAAGCCCAGAAGACAAATCTATCAAAAACAATAATCACTGAAGAAACCTGTTAAAAGATAGGTAGTATACAAATACATAAGTAGAGATGATTAAAATCAAAACGTAGAGGGGATGAAGTTAAATTGTAGAATTTTTTTCTTTGTTTCTATTATTTTCTTTGTGATTTAAGAAAAGCTGTCCTCTCTTTAAAATAACTTGTTACATCTATGACATATTTTTTGGTAAGCCTCATGATAGCCAGAATGCAAAAACCTGTAATAGATTCACTAAAAATAAAAAGCAATTAAAACTTAATGCCAGAGAAAATAACACAGCTACAAAGGAAGAAAGAAAGAAGGGAAGAGAGGAGCTGCAAAACAACCAGAAAACAAGCAAAAAAGGGCAGTAGAAAGTCCTTACTTGCCAATAACAACATTGAATGTAAATAGGTTCAATTCTCCAATTAAAAGCATAGAAGAGACTGGGTGGAGCAAGATGGCTGAATAGATGCCTCCACCAATCATCCTCCCCACAGCAACACCAAATTGAGCAACTACTTACACAAAAAGCACCTTCATAAGAACCAAAAATCATGTGAGAGATCACAGTACCTGGTTTCAACATCATTTTAAGGAAAGAGGCACTGAAGAGGGTAGGGAAGACAGTCTTGAATTGCCTACACCACCCCTCTCCCATCTCCTAGCAGTGGTTGCATGGTATGGAGACAGACTCTGTGAACTTGGGAGAGGGAGAGTGCAGTGACTGTGGCAGTTTGTGTTGGAACTCAGTGCTGCCCTGTCACAGCAGAAAGCAATACTGGGCAGAACTCAGCTGGTGCCCACAGAGGGAACATTTAGACAAGCCCTAATCAGATAAGAAATGCCAATCCCAGTGGTCAGAACCTGAGTTCTAGAAAGTACCGCTACTGCAAGCTGAGGCTCTGGGGTCCTAAATAAACTTGAAAGGCAGTCTAGGGCACAAGGACTGCAATTCCTGAGCAAATCCTGGTGCTTTGCTGGGCTCGAAGCCAGTGAATGTGGGGTACACATGACCTAGTGAGATACCAGCCAGGGTGGTCAAGGGATTGCTTGTGTAACCCCTCCCACAACGTCAGGCAGTGCAGCTTGCAGCTCTAGGAGAGACTCCTTCCTTCTGCTTGAGGAGGGAGAAGGGAGAATAGAGGACTTTGTCTTGTAACTTGAATACCAACTTAGCCACAGTAGGATAGGGTACCAGGAAGAGTCCTGAGGCCTCAATTTTAGGTCCTAGCTCATGGGTGACATTACTAGACACACCCTGTGCCAGAAGGGAACATGCTGTATTAAAGTGAAAGACCCAGTCCTGCAGGATTTATCACCTGCTAACTAAAGAGCCCTTGGGCCCCGAATAGTCACTAGAGGTAGCCAGGCGGTACTTACCATGGGCCTTGGGTGAGATTCAGAGATATGCTACCTTTAGGTGTCACCCAACATATGCACAGCTATGGTGACGATGAGCAGAGACTCATTCTGCTTGATAAAAGCAAAGGGAAGATAAAGGAGACTTTGACTTGCAGGTTAGGTACCAGCTTGGCCACAGTGAGGAAGAGCACCAAGCAGGCTCTTGGGTTCCCCAATTCTAGGCCTTGACTCTTGAATGGCATTTCTATACCTACCCAGGGCCAGAGTGGAGCTCACTGCCCTGAAGGGTGAGTCCCAGATCGGACAGGATTCACCATACCCTTATTGAAGAGCCCTTGGGCCTTGAGTGAACATTGCCAGTAGCCAGGCAGTAGGTGCTGTGGGCCTGGGGCAGTAGTGGCCACAGCGAGATAACTGTGTATTTGTGGAAAGGGGAGGGAAGAGTGAAAAGGACTTTGTCTTCTGGCTTTGGTGCCTGCTCAGCCACATTGGAACAGAGCACCAGGTTGATACTTAAGATTTCTAAATCTAAGTGCTGACTCCCAGATGGCATCTCTGGAACTGCCTGGAACCTGGGGGAATTCGCCACCCAGAAGGGAAGAACAGAAACCTGGCTGGCTTTGCAACCTGCTGATTGTAGAGCCCTAGGGCCTTGAGAGAATATAGGCAGTAGTTATGATGGGTCTTGGGTGAGAATCAGTGCTGTACAGGCTTCAGGGCTGACCCAGCACAGCCCTAGTGGTGGTGGCCACAGGGGCACTTGTGTTACCCCTCTCCTAGCTCCAGGCAGCTCAGCACAGAAAGAGACTTTGTTTGTTTGGGGGAAAGTAAGGGAAGAGAACGAGAGCCTCTGTCTGGTAATCCATGGAATTCTTCAGGATCTTATCCAACACCACCAAGATGGTATTTATATGAGTATGCAAGAGCCACAGCATTACTGGGCTTGAGGAGCCACCAAATGTACATATAATGCAATGATCAAAGACTTAGATCACAACACCCAAATCCCTGTGAATATTCGGAAAGCCTTCCCAGGGAGGACAAGCACAAACAGGCACAGACTGTGAAGACAACAATAAATATCTAACTCTTCAATGCCTAGACACTGATGAACAGACACAGTATCAAGACCATCCAGGAAAAGATGCCTTCACCAAACAAAGTAAATTAAGCATAATGACCAATCTCAGAGAGACTGAGATAGTAGACCTTTCAGACAGGAGAACTCAAAATAGCTGTTTTAAGGAAGCTCAGTGAAAATCAAGATAATACAGAGAAGGAATTCAGAATCTTACCAGATAAATTTTAAAATGGGATGGAAATAATTAAAAGGAACCAAGCAGAAATTCTTGAGCTGAAAAATTCAATTGAATACTGACGAATGCAAAACGGTTTCTTAACAGCAGAATTGACTAAACAGAAGAAAGAATTAGTGAGCTTGAGGACAGGCTACTTGAAAATACACACAGAGAAGAGACAAAAAAAGGAATAAAGAAAAAAGCACACTCACAAGATCTAGAAAATAGCCTAAAACTGGCAAATCTAAGAGTTACTGGCCTTAAAGAGGAGGTAGAGAGAAAGATAGGGGTAGAAAGTTTATTCAAAGGAATAATGACAGAATTTCCCAAACCTAGAGAATGACATTAATATTCAATTACAAGAAGGTGATAGAAGACCAAACAGATTTAAGCCAAATAGGACTACATCGAGACATTTGATAATAAAACTTCCAAAGGTGACAAATAAAGAAAGGATCCTAAAAGCAGCAAGAAACAACATACAATGGCACTTCAACATATCTCACAGCAGACTTTTCAGAGGAAACCTCACAGGCCAGGAGAGACTGGCATGACATATTTAAAGTGTTGAAGGAATAAAATCCCTTTTTACCCTAGAATAGTATATATAGCAAAAAATATTCTTCAAACATGTAGGAGAAATAAAAACTTTCCCAGAAAAACAAAAACTGAAGCATCAACAGCAGAAGTGTTCTATAAGAAATGCTAAAAGGAGTTCTTTGATGTGAAAGAAAAGAATGTTAATGAGCAAAAAATACAAATTTGAAGGTACAAAACTCACTGGTAATAGCACACAGAAAACACAGAATATTGTAACACTGTAGGTGTGATATGTAAACTACTCATATCTTGAGTAGAAAGACTAAAAGATGAACTGATCAAAAATAACTATAACAACTTTTGAAGGCATAGGCAGTACAATAAGATACAAATAGACATAAAAAAATTAAAAGCATGAGGATGAAGTTCATTTGCAGTTTTTATTAGTTTTATCTTTGTTTGTTTATGCAATTAGTGTTGTCATCAGTTTAAAATAATGGGTTATATTATTGCAAGCCTTACAGTTTGTATTAGTCAGGGTTCCCTAGAGGGACAGAACTAATGGAATATATCTATAGGGGAATTTATTAAGCATTAATTCACATGATCACAAGGTCTCAAAATAGGCTGTCTGCAGGCTGAGGAGCAAGGAGAGCCAGTCCGAGATCCAAAACTGAAGAACTTGGAGTCCAACATTCAAGGACAGAAAGCATCCAGCACTAGAGAAAGATGTAGGCTAGGAGGCTAGGCCAGTCTCTCTTTTCACATTTTTCTGTCTGCTTATATTCTAGCCACACTGACAGCTGATTAGATTGTGCCTACTCAAATTAAGGGTGGGCCTGCCTTTCCCAGCCCACCAACTCAAATGTTAATCTCCTTTGGCAACACTGTCACATAAATACCCAGGATCAATACTTTGTATTCTTCAGTCCAATCAAGTTGACCAGTATTAACCATCACAAGTCTACCTTTTGTCAACTTGAACCCATACACATCTCCTGAGATCATACATAATATTCAAATATAGATGATAATAAGGTCATAGTTACACCAAACATAATACAACTATCCTTTGTACAACTGCAACCGCATCAATCCCCAACCCAAATACTATTACATAAAGTTAACAATACTTAAATGTTGATGTGAAGTCAATAAATCTTATGTCACATGATAAAGGAGAAAGGAAATAAAATGAAGATATTTTCTTAGTACAAGTGTATATAGGCATAAACATTTTTTTTAACAAAACAAGGAGGAAATACTCATGACAATTACAGTCTTCATTTCTCCAGCTGGTCATGTGGTTGTAGCTGGTACTGACGACTACCTTCTTCTACTACCCATTCTGTATTCCCTTTGCCTTCAGGAAGCACTTCAGCAGGTCATGGTTTTTTTTTTTTTCCTGATAAAGTGACCCAAACCTTCATTCCTGAAGGGTCTGGGTCATTTGTAGTCCTGCCTGGATTGTGCTGTTGTAGTTTCCCATTGACCATAATCACAGGGCATGGTAATACTAACAGACGCCCTAATGGATCTCCTGTATTCCATGCATACTCTTTCTTACATCCATTGTGCAGTAGTAGACTGATTTCATCTTGATAGTCTGGGTCAATCACCCCAGACAACACTGTAACTCCATTCTTAGCCTGTTGACTTAAAGGTAGGAGGAGCCCAAAATGTTCAGGTGGCAATCATAACTTCCTGTTTAATGGAATCCTTGTTGTGTCTCCTGGTGGCAGTGTTCCTCCCTCTGAAATAAGACTCTCACTGAGGGAAATCTTAGCAGATTTGAGACTCAGTATCTGCTTCTGAAGCCAGGAGACAGAATCCTTGAGTTCATCATTTTCCTTCACCAGTTTTTCCACTGAACTTAGGAGCAGCCAACCAGCTTCATTATGTTCCTTGGTTCTCCACATAAGGTCAAAAGTATTATGTATAGAGTCACTAAACTCCTTGCCTCTCATGAGCAATGAATCAGGAGTGTCGAGTGTATTTATTTTACTAACTCTCTAAACAGTTCATGCCAAGGACCATCAGTGTTCTCCATACTATTAGAAGTAGAGTCCTTAACATTTTTGTGTCTAATCATATTAAGCAGCCAATTCCAGAAACCCCCAAACCAACAAAAGAACTCCATCCTTAATATTCTGTTCTTCTAGAACCACTGCTGGTACCAAAATCTGTATTAGTCAGCGTTCTCTAGAGAAACAGAACTAATGGAATTATATATATGAGTTTATTAAGTATTATACCACCACAAGGTCCACAATAGGCTGTCTGCAGGCTGAGGAGCAAGGAGAGCCAGTCCAAGTTACAAAACTGAAGAACTTGGAGTCTGATGTTTGAGGGCATGAAGCATCCAGCATGGGAGAAAGATGTAGGCTGGGAGGCTAGGACAGTCCATCTTTTCACATTTTTTTGCCTGCTTATATTCTAGCTGTGCTGGCAGCTGATTAGATTGTGCCCACCCAAATTAAGAATGAGTCTGCTGTTCCCAACCCACTGATTCTCAAATGTTAACCTCCTTTGGCAACACCATCACAGACACACCAAAGATCAATACTTTGTATCCTTCAATCCACTCAAGCAATCAAGTTGACACTCAGTACTAACCATCATATGGTTACTGCAAATCAAAAAACATATTACAGATACACAAAAAATAACAAGCAAGAAATTAAAACATACCACAAGAGAAAATCACCTTTACTTAAAAGAAGACAGGAAGGACAAAAAACAAAAACAAAAACAAAACAAAACAAAACAAAAACCCATGAAACAACCAGAAAACAAGTAATAGAATGGTAGGAGCAAGCTCTTTTCAATAATAACATTGAATGTAAATGGAGTAAACTATAATCAAAAGAGAAAAAGTGGCTGAATGGATGAAAAAAAAAAACAAGACCCGATGATCTATTACCTACAAGAAACACCTTTCATCTATAAAGACACAAATAGACTGAAAATAAAGGAATGGAAAAAGATATTCCATGCAAGTGAAAACAAAAACAGAGCATGTGTAGCTACAAAAATATCAGAGAAAATACATTTTAAGACAAAAACTATAAGAAGACACAAGGAAGGTGATTATATAATGATAAAGGGGTCTATTCAGCAGGAGAATATAACAATTCTAAGTATACTTACACTCAACACTGGAACACCCAGAGGTATAAAGCAAATATTATTAGAGCTTAACAGAGAAAGACTCCAAAACAATAACAGCTGGAGACTTCAATACCCCACCTTCAACATTGAACAGATCACCCAGACAGAAAATCAACAAAGTAACATCAGATAATATGCACCACAGATGAAGTGAACCTAAAAATATTTACAGAACATTTCATCCAACAGCTGCAGAATACATATTCTTCACTTTGGCACATGGATCATTCTGAAGAACAGACCATATGTTAGATGACAAGTGTTAAAAAAATTTAACAAGTGAAATAATATCAAATCCCTTATATGACCACAGTGGAATAAAATTAGAAATCAATAACAAGAGGAAGTTTGGAAAGTATATAGACACATGGAAATTAAATAATATGCTCCTGAATTACCAGTAGATCAATAAAGAAATTAAGAAGGGAAGTGAAAAATTTCAGCCCACTTTCACTACTGTGATTCAACACAGTACTAGAAGTCCTAGCTGGAGCAATCAGATAAGAGAAAGAAATAAACACATCCCAATTGGAATGGAAAAAGTCAAGTTATCCTTGTTTTTAGATGATATAATCTTATATTTGAAAAAACATAAAGATTCCACAAAAAAAACATTAGATCTGATAAACAAATTCAGTCAAGTTGCAGAATACAAAATCAACATGCAAAAATTAGTAGCATTTCTGTATGCTAACAGTGAACAACATAAAATGAAATCAAGAAAGTAACCCCCTTCACAATAGGTAAAATAAAATACCCATAAATTAGCTTAACCAAAGAAGTGAAAAATATCTACAAGAAAAGCTGTGAAACATTGAAAGAAATTGAATAGGAAGCAAAAAAATAGAAAGATATTCCATGTTCATGATTTGGAAGAAGATTGTTAAAATGTCCATACTACCCAAAGCAATCTACAGATTAAATGCAATCCCTCTTAATATACCCATGACATCCTTCATAGAAATAGGAAAAATAATCCTAAAATTTATATGGAACCACAAAAGACCCAGAATAGCCAAAGCTATCCTGAGCAAAATAAACAAAACTGTAGGAACCACATTACCTGACTGCAAAGCAGAATGGAACTAGCATAAAAAGAGACACATAGACCAATGGAACAGAATAGAGAACAAAGAGTAAACTTATTGTCAACAAAAATGCCAAGAATACTCACTGGGAAAAGAACACTCTCTTCAACAAATGGTGCTGGGAAAACTGGATATCCATATGCAGAAGAATGAAACTACACCCTTACCTCTTTCCATATATAAAAGTCAAATCAGAATAGATTAAAGACCTAACTCTGAGACCTCAAAATATGAAACTATGAAATAAAACTTTTGGGGAAATTCTTCAGGACATTGGAATTGGCAACGATGTGTTGAGTAATACCCCCTAACACACAGGCAACCAAAGCAAAAATAGACAAATGGGATCACATCAAGTTAAAAACCTTCCATACAGCAAAGAAGACAATAAACAAAGTGAAAAGACAAACCACAGAATGGGAGAAAATATTTGCAAATACCCATCTGAGAAGGGATTAATAACCAGAATACATAAAGAGTTCAAACAATTCTATAGGAAAAAATCTAATAATCTGATTAAAAATGGGCAAAAGATGTGAATAGACATTTCTGAAATGAAGACATGCAAATGGCAAACGGGTACATGGAAAAGTACTCAACATCATTGATCAGAGAAATGAAAATCAAAACTATAATGAGACCAAATCTCACCCCAGTTAAAGTTTATCCAAAAGTCAGGCAATAACAAATGCTGGTGAGGATGTGGAGAAAAGAGAACCCTTGAACAGTATTGGTGCAAATGTATGTTTTATTAAAACTACTATGGAGTATAGTTTGGCATTTCCTCAGAAAACTAAAAATAGAGCTAACATATGATCCAGCAATTCTACTCCTAGTTATATACTGAAGAGAAAGAAAATCAGTATATTGGAGAGATATCTGCATTCCTATGTTTATTGGAGCACAACTCATAATAGCCAAGATTTAAAAGCAACCTAAGTGTCCATCAGCAGATGAATAGATAAAAAGTAGTATATACATACAATGGAGTACTATTGAGCCATAAAAAAATAATGAAATCCTGTTATTTGCAACAACATGGATGGAACTGGAGGTCATTATGTTAAGTGAAATAAGCCAGGCACAGAAAGACAAACGTCACATGTTCCCAATTATTTTGGGGAGCTAAAAATTAAAACAATTTAATTGATGGAGATAGAGGGTATAATGATGGTAACCAGAGGCTGGGAATGGTGTTTGGGGGTCGGGGAAGTTGGGATGGTTAACACTTATAAAAATATTGGCTGGGTGCGGTGGCTCACATCTGCAATCCCAGCATTTTGGGAGGCCAAGACGGGTGGATCACCTGAGGTCAGGAGCTCGAGACCAGCCTGGCCAACATGGTGAAACCCCGTCATTACTAAAAATACAAAAATTAGTCAGGCATGGTTGTGCATGCCTGTAATCCCAGCTACTCAGAAGGCTGAGGCATGAGAATCACTCGAACCCAGGAGGCGGAGGTTGCAGTGAGCTGAGATCACACCACTGCACTACAGCCTGGGCAACAGAGTGAGACTCCATCTCAAAAAAAAAAAATTGTTAGAATAAACAAGATTTAGTATTTTAAAATAACTAAAAGTATAATTGGACTGTTTGTAACAGAAATAAAGGATAAATGCTTGAAGTTGTAGATATTCAATTTATCCTCATTTGATTATTACACATTGTATACCTGTATTAAGATATCTCATATACCCCATAAATATATACACCTAGTATGTACCCAGAAAAATTAAAAATAAAAAAAAACTTGTTTTAAAAGGCATAGAGTGGCTGAATGAATAAAGAAACAACCTGGGGAGTAGTGGCCAAGATGGTCAACTAGAAGCAGCTAGGTTGTGTGGCTCTCATGAAGAGGAACAGAAGGGGTGAATAAATACAAGACCTTCAACCGAAATATTCAGGTACTCACATTGGGATTAATCTAGGAAACAACTTGACCCACAGAGAACAAAGAAAAGCAAGAGGACAACGGCCCATCTGGGAGCAACACGGAGGCAGGTGAATCCTCCTCCACCCAGGGAAGCCATGCTTCTCCCACAGATCTTTGCAACCCTTGGGTAAGGAGGTTTCCTTGTGAACCCACCCCACCAGGGCCTTCAGTCTTCAGTCTGACAAATAGAGTTACATGGAGTCTTGGCAGAGCAGCCGCTCAGGCATGTGTGGAGACACTGGAGCCTTAGAAACTTGGGCGTTTCAGCAAAAGTAGCTGCAGCTCCCACAAAGTGGGAGGTTAGACTCTTGTACATAGCCCTAGGAAAGAAGCTGAATCCAGGGGGCTGAGCAGTAACAGCCCACAGGCCTCACTTCCATGGCACCTCACAAGATAAGACCCACTGGCTTGGAATTCCAGTCAGCTAGCAGTAGCAGCATTGCACTTCCCTAAAAAGGAGCTCCTGGTGGGAGGGGCGAGCCACCATCTTTGCTTTTCAGGTGCCTTAGCCGTTCCAGCCTTCAGGCTTTGAGAGTCTAGCTGACCTGGGGCAAAAGGGATTCCCCAGCACAGCCTAGCTCCTCTACCAAAACAAAGCCAGACTGCTGCTTTAAGCCGGCGCCTGATCCTGTTCTTCCTCACTGGTCAGGTCCTCCCAACCAGGGCCTCCGGCCACCCCCACCCAATCTCTCCAACTGACAGAGATCTGAATTCCCCCTCAAAAGGCATTCCCAGAGGGGGATGGACCATCATTTTTGCTCTTTGGATGACTTAGCCATTCCAACCTTTGGGCTTTGGGGTGTCTGAGGTGACCAGGGTCTGAAGTGGACCCCCCAGCAAAGCACAGCTGCTTTAACAAAACATGGCCAAACTGCCTTTATAAGTGGGTCCTGATCTTGTTCCTCCTCACTGGGCGGGACCTCCCAACTGGGGCCTCCAGCTATCCCCACCCAAGCTCTCCAGCCAACAGAGATCTGAACTCCCCCTGGGACAGCACTCCCACAGGGAGGGGTGGGCTGCCATCATTGCTCTTTGGGCATCTTACCCATTCCAGCCTTTGGGCTTCAGAGTGTGAGGTGACCAAGGGCTGAAGTGGACCCCCAGCACAACGCAGCTGCTCTATCAAAACAGGATCAGACTGCTTTTTAAGCAGTTCCCAATCCTGTTCATCTTCACTGGCCGGGACCTCCCAACTGTGGTCTCCAGCCACTTCCTACAGGTGCCTTTGGGCCAGCAACAGGTCTGTAACTCCCTGGGACAAAACTCCCTGAAATAGGGACAAGTTGCCATGTTTGATGTTTCACAGCCTTCACTGGTGACACCTCCAGGTTGTGGAAAATCTGAGGTGATTAGGATCTGGAGTAGGCCCCAAGCATACCACAGCAGCCCTATGAAAAAGTGGCCAGACTGTTATGTGGTTGCCCGTTTTCATATCTCCTCAATGGGCAGGTCCTCCAGGCCTGGCCCTCCAGCCACCCCCCACCAGAGCTACTAAGCTAGTACCAACTCAGCAACTCCCTGGACAGAGCCTCCAGGGGCAACTGAAAGCAAAGCCTCTTAGCCACTGCCTCTGTAGTGGAACTACTCTTGCCACCCTTGGAGTAACAAAGGAGCAAAGACCCTAAGTGTCTTATCCATACCTCCAACAAGCTGTAGTTGACCCAAGGAGAGGAGGCCAGTCCATCTCCCACAGGTCCTAAACACCACCCATGGCTCATCACCAGACAGGGAACCCCTGGCTTGGGCATAAACCCTTCACCTTGGGCTGACTGCACTGAGCAATTGCTGACCTGTATCTCTCTGGAGTAAAGCCTCCAGGAGTCAAGTAAACGACCCTTGGTCACAACCACTACTAAGATCTCCTCCTCTGCTGCCTCTACGCTGGGGAAGGAACATAAGCACTAAGATCACCCCAGAGCTCCAGTGGGCAGCCCAACTGTGCCAAGTCATGAACTACAGCCAGACTAAAGGGGGAGAGGAACCTTCACTTTCAGAGCACTGAGAGGAAATATGGCTGCAACTGTGAGAAAAAATAGGGGAGCTACACAACTGAGCAAGAGTCTACCAAATGACCAGTAAGCCTGAGTGTCACCTGCTGGTTCATACCCCAAAACTTCAACACCAAAAATTCATCACTAAAATAACCCCCTCTGATACCAGAGACAAGAAATCAGCTTCAAATAAAGACACTACACAAAGCCTCAGCCCAGTGAAAACATCCAGAAAAGAAGTATATTGACTGTACTCAAGCTACACTGCAGTTAAAGAAACACCCACACGCAGAGATGAGAAAAAAACCAATGCAAGAACTCTGGTAACTCAAATGGCCCGGGTGTCATATGTTCTCCAAATGATTGTACAACTTCTCCCAAAAGAGTGTTTAACCAGGCTGAACTGGCTGGAATGACAGACGTAGAATTCGGAATATGCATAGGAACAAAAATCATCAAGATTCAGGAGGATGGCAAAACCCAATCCAAGGAAAATAAGAATCATAATAAAGTGATACAGGAGCTGAAGGATAAAATAGCCAGTATAAAAAAGAACCTAATGGGTCTGACAGAGTGGAATAACAGAATATAAGAATTTCACAATGCAATCACAAATACTAACAGCAGAATAAACCAAGCTGAGGAAAGAATCTCAGAACTTGAAGACTGGTTCTCTGAAATAAGACAATCAGAGAAAAATAAAGAAAAAAGAATACAGGGAAATGAACAAAACCTCCAAGAAGTATGAGATTATGTAAAGAGGCCAAAGCTACAAATCATTGGCATCCCTGAAAGGAAGGGGGAGAAAGCAAATAATTTGGAAAATACATTTCAGGATATTGTCCATGAAAACTTCCCCAACCTTGCTAGAGAGGTCAACAGTCAAAAGCAAGAAATACAGAGAACCCCTGCAAGATTCTACACAAGAAGATCATTTCTAAGACACATAATCATCAGATTTTCCAAGGTAGAAATGAAAGAAAGAATGTTAAAGGCAGCTAGCCAGAAAGGGTAGGTCACCTTCAAAGGGATCCCCATCAGGCTAACAATGGAACTCTCAGCTGAAACCCTATGAGCCAGAAAAGACTGGGGGCCTATATTCAACACTTATAAAGAAAAAAACTTCAACCAAAAATTTCATATCCAGCCAAACTAAGCTTCCTAAGTGAAGGAGAAATAAGATCCTTTTCAGATAAGCAATGTTGAAGTACTTCACGACCACCAGACCTGTCTCAGAAGAGATCTTGAAAGGAGCACTAAATATAGAAAGGAAAGACTGCTACCAGTGAATAGTGAAGCTGGAACGGATGCTGACAGAACAAATGTTCAATGAAGAGGATGGAAAGTAGCGCATCACTGAGGCTGGACTCCAGATCTGCACTGCCAGCCAGCTGGGGTCTGACTGCACATGGCTTCTGATGAATCTTGTGTTTTTTTACAAATTGGAGCACGGACAGATCATAGATTTCTGATTTTATGTAAAGTTTTGCCTAATACATTAAAGCAGTCACTTTTCCTGTGCTGTTTCCAAAAAAAAAAAAAGAAAAGAAAAAAGAAAAACACACTTAAACACACTGACCAGTGTCACTGCAAAGCAAGCACACAAATAAACCAACATAACAACCAGCTAATAGTACAATGACAGGATCAAATTCACACATATCAATACTAACCTTGAATGTAAATGGGCTAAATGCCCCACTTAAAAGGCACAGAGTGGCAAGCTGAGTTAAAAAGCAAGATCCAATGGCATGCTGTCTTCAAGAGACCCATCACACATGTAATTACACTTATAGGCTCAAAATAAAGGGATGGAGAAAAATCTACCAAGCTAATGGAAAACAGAAAAAAGCGGGGGTTGCAATCCTAATTTCTGACAACAGACTGCAAACCAACAAATATAAAAAAAGACAAGGAAGGGCATTACATAATGGTAAAGGGTTCGATTCAACAAGAAGATCCTAAGTATCCTAAATATATATGTACCCAACACAGGAGTATCCAGATTCATAAAGCAAGTTCTTAGAGATGTACAAAGAGACAGAGTCCCACACAATAATAGTGGGAGACTTCCACACACCACTGACAGTTTTAGACAGATAAATGAGACAGAAAATTAACAAAAACATTCAGGACCTAAACTCAGCATTGGGCCAAATGGATCTGAGAGACCTTTACAGAAGTCTCCACCCAAAAACAACAGAATATAAATTCTTCTCATTGCCACATGGCACATACTCTAAAATCAGCCACATAGATGGACATAAAACAATCCTCAACAAAAGTAAAAGAATGAAAATCTTACAAAACACACTCTGGAACCACAGTGCCATAAAAATAGAAGTAAACACAATAAAAATTGCTCAAAACTATACAATTACATAGAAATTAAACAACATGCTCCTGAATGACTTTTAGGTAAATAATGAAATTAAGGCAGAAATTAAGTAGTTCTTTGAAAATAATTAGATCAAAGATACAACATACCAGAATCTCTGGGACACAGCTAGGGTGGTATTAAAGAGGGAAATTCATAGCACTAAATGCCCATATCAAAAAGCTAGAAAGATCTCAAATTAACAACCTAACATAACAACTGAAAGAATTAGAGAAGCAAGAACAAATAAACCCCAAATGCTAGCAGAAAATGAGAAATAACAAAAATCACAGCTGAACTGAAGGAAATCAAGACATGAAAAACCATTCAAAAGATCAACAAATCCAGGAACTGGTTTTTTTGAAACATTAAAAAAATGGATAGGCCACTAGCTAGACTAATTAAGAAGAAAAGGGAGAAGATCCAATAAACACAATCAGAAATGACAAAGAGAATGTTACTACTGTCCCCACAGAAGTAAAAACCATCAGAAGCTACTATGAACACCTGTATGCACACAAACTAGAAAACCTAAAAGAGATAAATTCCTAGACACATATACCCTCCTAAGGCTGAACAAAGAAGAAATGGACTCCTTGAAAAGACCAAGAATGAGCTCCAAAATTGAATCAGTAATAAACAGCCTACTAAATGAAAATGCCTAGGACCTGATGGATTCACAGCCAAATTCTACGAGATTACAAAGAGCTGGTACCATTCCTACCGAGACTATTCCAGAAAAATGAGGAGGAAGGACTCCTCTCCAACTCATTCTGAGGCCAGCATTATCTTGATACCAAAACATGGCAGAGACACAACAATAGCCACAACAACAATTCACCTTCAGGCCTATATCCTTGATGAAAATTGTTGCAAAAATCCTCAATAAAATATTTGCAAACTGAATCCAGCAGCATATCACCAAGCCAATCCACCATGATCAGGTAGATTTCATCCCCGGAATGCAAAGTTGTTTCAACATATGAAAATGAATAAATGTGATTAATCACATAAATAGAACTAAAGACAAAAACCACATGATTATCTCAATAGATTCAAGAAATGCTTTTAATAAAATTCAACATCCCTTCATGTTAAAATAACTAGGTATTGAAGTAACATACCTCAAAATAATAAGAGCCATCTATGACAAAGTCCCAGCCAACATTATACTGAATGGGCCAAAGCAGGAAGCATTCTCCTTGAAAACCGGCACAAGACAAGGTTGTCCTCTCTCATCCCTTCTATTCAACGTAGTATGGGAAGTCCTAGCCAAAACAATCAGGAAAGAGAGATAAATAAGTGGCATCCAAATAGGAAGAGAAGAAGTCAAACTATATCTGTTTGCAGATGATATGATTCTCTATCTAGAAAACCCCATAGTCTTGGCCAAAAGCTCCTTCAGGTGATAAACAACTTTAGCAAAGTTGCAGGACACAAAATCAATGTACAAAAATCACTAGCATTCCTATACACCAACAACAGTCAAACCAAGAGCCAAATCAGGAACGAATTCCCATTCACAATTGCCACAAAAAAGTAAAATATTTAGAAATACAGCTAACCAGGGAGGTGAAAGATCTCTACAATGAGAATTACAAACTACTGCTCAAAGAAATTAGAGAAGACACAAACAAATGGAAAAATATCCCATGCTGATGGACAGGTAGAATCAATATCATTAAAATGGCTATACTGCTGGAAGCAATGTACAGATTCCATGCTATTCCTATCAAATTACCAGTGTCATTTTTCACTTAACTAGACAAATGTTTTAAAATTCTCATGGAAGCAAAAACGAGCCTGAATAGCCAAGGCAATCCAAAGCAAAAAGAACAAAGCTGGAGGAATCATGTTAGCCAACTTGAAACTATACTACAAGGATACAGTGACAAAAACAGCATAGTACTGGTACAAAAACAGGCACATAGACCAAAGGAACACAATAGAGAGCCCAGAAATAAGGCTGCACATCTATGAACATGTGGTCTTTGACAAAGCTGACAAAAATAAACAATGGGGAAAAGACTCCCTATTCAATAAATGGTGCTGGGATAACTGGTTCACCATATTCAGACAGTTAAAGCTGGACCCCTTCCTTACACCATATACAAAAATCAATTCAAGATGGATTAAAGAATTAAGTATAAAACCCCAAACTACAAAAACCCAGGAAGACAATCTAAGCAGTATTATCCTGGACACAGGAATGGATAAAGAGTTCATGACAAAGACACTGAAAGCAATCACAACAATAGCAAAAATTGACAAATAGTATCTAATTAAACCTAAGAGCTTCTGCCCAGCAAAGGAGAATATCAACAGAGTAAACAGACAACCTACAAAATGGAGGAAAATATTTGCAAGCTGTGCATCTGACAAAGGTCTAATATCTATCATGTATAAGGAACTTAGGTAAATTTACAAGAGAGAAACAAACAACCCCATTAAAAAGTAGGCAAAGGACATGAGCAGATGCTTCTCAAAAGAAGACATACATGCAGCAAACAAACATATAAAAAAAGCTCAATATCACTGATCATTAGAGAAATGCAAATCAAAACCACAATGAGATACCATCTTACAGCAGTCAGAATGGGTATTATAATAAAGTCAAAAAATAACAGATGCTGGTGAGGTTACAGAGAAAAGGGAACCCTTATACACTGCTGGTGGGAGTGTAAATTAGTTCAACCATTGTGGAAAGCACTATAGCAATTCCTCAAAGATCTAAAAGCAGAACTACCATTTCACCCAGCAATCCTGTTACTGGGTATATACCCAGAGGAATATAAAGCATTCTGCCATAAAGACACATGCACACAAATGTTCACTGCAGCACTGTTCACAATAGCAAAGATGTGGAATCAACCTAAATGCCCATCAATGACAGACTGGATAAAGAAAATGTGGCACCCATACACCATGGAATATTATTCAGTCATAGAAAAGAATGAGATCATGTCTTTTGTGGGAATATGGATTGAGCTGGAGGCTATCATCCTTAGCAAACTAACTGAGGAACAGAAAACCAAATACTGCATGTTCTCACTTATAAGTGGGAGCTAAATGATGAGAACTTATGAACAAAAAGAAGGAAAAAACAGACACTGGTGTCTACTTGAGGGCAGGGGGTGAGAGGAGGAAGAGGAGCAGAAAAGATGACTATTAGGTACTAAGCCTAATACCTGGGTGATGTAATAATACATACAACAAATCCCCGTGACATGAGTTTACCTATATAAGAAACCTTCACGTGTACCACCAAACCTAAAATAAAAAATAAAAAATAAGAAACAAGACCTAACTATGTTGCCTACAAGAAATCTATTTCACCTATAAAGACACACATAAGTACATAAATGGAAAATGATACTCCATGCAACTGGAAACCAAAAAAGATCAGGAGTAACTTACTCATATCTGATAAAATGAATTACAAATAAAATATATAGAAAGAGACACAGAAGGTCACTATATAATGATAAAGGGTCAATTCAACAAGATGATATAACAATTATAAATATCAATGCACTCAACACAGGAGTACTGAAGTATATAAAACAAACATCACTAAATCTAAAAGGAAGAGATAGACTGCAATAAAATAACAGTAGGGCAGTTTAACACCCCATTTTCAGTAAAGGGAGTATCCTCCAGACAGAAAATCAACAAAGATATCAGAATTAAACTACACACTATACCTAATAGGCCCAAGTGACATTTATGGAACATTTCACACAATTGCTACAGAATATACATTCTTTTCTTCAGCACATAGAGCATTCTCTAGAATAGGCCAGATCTTAGGCCACAAAACTAGCATCACCAAATTCTAAAAAGTAGAAATCATATCAATTACATTTTCTTGAGCTTCATTTTCTGTCCTGATTTTTAAAAAGTATTTTTTCTGACCACAATGGATAAAACTAGAAATAAATAAGATGAACCCTGGAACCTGCACAAACACATAGAAATTAAAAAGCATGCTCCTGGGCCAATGAGTCAATGAAGAAAATTAAGAAAGAAATTAAAAAATGTCTTGAAACAAATGGAAATGGTAGTACAACATACTAAAATCTATAGGACACAGCAAAGCAGTACTAAAAGGGAAGTTTATATAAATGCCTACATCAAAAAAGTAGAAAGACTTGAAAAAAGAACGTAACCATGCACCTTAAGGAACTAGAAAAGCAAGAATGAACCAAACACCAAATTAGTAGAAGGAAAGAAATAATAAATATCAGATCAGAAACAAATAAAATTAATATTTTCCAAAGCAATACAGAAGACCAATGAAACAAAAAGTTGGATTTTTGAAGATAAAATTGACAAAATATTAGCAAGATTAACCAAGGAAAAAAGAGAGAAGACCCAAATAAATAGAATCAGAAGTGAAAATGGGATATTACAACTGATGCCACAGAAATACAAAGAATCATTAGAGATTATAATGAAAAACTATACACCAACAAATAGGAAAACCTTGAAGAAATGGATAAATTCCTTGACACATACAACCTACCAAGGTTGAACCATGAAGAAACAGAATGCTGAATAAACCAATGAGTAATGAGATTGATGGTGTAAAAAAAAGTCTTCCATCAAAAAAAAAAAAAAAAAGATGGCGTCACTGCTGAATTCTACCAAATGTTTAAGGAAGAACTAATAACAATTTTACTTAACCTTTCACAAAAATTGAAGAGGTGGGAATACTACTAAACTCTACAAGGCCAGCATTACCCTGATACCCAAACCAAACAAGGACACAGTGAAAAAAGAAAACTCAGGCCAATATCACGGATGAACACAAAATGTTAAGATCCTCAACAAAATACTAGCAAACTGAACTCAATCACAAATTTAAAACATTAGTCAGTGCTCAATGTTGCCCAGGCTGGAGTGCAGTGGCGTGATCTTGGCTCGCTACAGCCTCCACCTCCCAGCTGCCTGCCTTGGCCTCCCAAAGTGCCGAGATTGCAGCCTCTGCCCAGCCGCTACCCCGTATGGGAAGTGAGGAGCGTCTCTGCCCGGCTGCCCATCGTCTGAGATGTGGGGAGTGCCTCTGCCTGGCCGCGACCCCATCTGGGAACTGAGGAGTGTCTCTGCCCGACCGCCACCCCATCTGGGAGGTGAGGAGCGTCTCTGCCCAGCCGCCCCGTCTGAGAAGTGAGGAGCCCCTCCGCCCAGCAGCCGTCCCATCTGGGAAGTGAGGAGCCCCTCCACCCGGCAGCCACCCCGTCTGGGAAGTGAGGAGTGTCTCCACCTGGCAGCCGCCCCGTCCAGGAGGTGGGGGGCAGCCCCCACCCAGCCAGCTGCCCTGCCCAGGAGGGAGGTGGGAGGCAGCCCCCGCCCGGTCAGCCACCCCGCCTGGCCAGCCGCCCCGTCCGGGAGGGAGGTGGGGGGCAGCCCCCGCCCGGCCAGCCGCCCCGTCCGGGAGGGAGGTGGGGGGCAGCCCCCGCCCGGCCAGCTGCCCCGTTTGGGAGGTGGGGGACAGCCCCCACCCAGCAGCCGCCCCGTCTGGGAGGTGGGGGGCGCCTCTGCCTGGCCACCCCATCTGGGAAGTGAGGAGCCCCTCTGCCCGGCCGCCACCCCATCTGGGAGGTGTGCCCAACAGCTCATTGAGAATGGGCCATGATGACGATGGCAGTTTTGTCAAATAGAAAGGGGGGAAATGTGGGGAAAAGAAAGAGAAATCAGATTGTTGCGTTGTCTGTGTAGAAAGAAGTAGACATAGGAGACTCCATTTTGTTCTGTACTAAGAAAAATTCTTCTGCCTTGGGATGCTGTTAATCTATAACCTTACCCCCAACCCCGTGCTCTCTGAAACATGTGCTGTGTCCACTCAGGGTTAAATGGATTAAGGGCGGTGCAAGATGTGCTTTGTTAAACAGATGCTTGAAGGCAGCATGCTCGTTAAGAGTCATCACCACTCCCTAATCTCAAGTACCCAGGGACACAAACACTGCAGAAGGCCGCAGGGTCCTCTGCCTAGGAAAACCAGAGTCCCTTGTTCACATGTTTATCTGCTGACCTTCCCTCCACTATTGTCCTATGACCCTGCCAAATCCCCCTCTCCGAGAAACACCCAAGAATGATCAATAAATACTAAAAAAAAATAAAAAATAAATAAATAAAACATTAGTCACCACAGTCAAATGAGATTCATCCCAGGGATGCAAGGATGGTTCAACATACACAAATCAATAAATTTGATGCATCACATTGACAGAACCAAGAAAAAAAGCACATGATTATTTCAATAGCTGCTGAAGAAGCATTTGATAGAATACAAGTTCCCTATATGATAAAAACCCTTAACAAACTGGGTATAAAAGGATCATACCTCAAATTAATACAGGCCATATATGACAAACCCACAGCTAACATAATACTGAATGGGAAAAATTGAAAGCTGATCCTCTAAGATCTGGAACAAGATGAGGAGGCCCACTTTCACCAATTTTATGCAACATAATACTAGAAATCCTGGCCAAAGCAATCAGATAAGAGAAATAAATAAAGGGGATCCAAATTGGAAAGGAAGAAGCCAAGTTATCCTTGGTTGCAGATGACCTGATATTTAGGAAACCCTAAGAACTCCACCAAAAAACTGTTAGAACTAATAAATGAATTTAGTAAAGCTGCAAGATACAAAATCAACCTACGAAAATCAGTAGAATTTATGCACACCAACAACAAACAATCTTAAGAAATAAATCAAGGAAGTAATTCCATTTCAAATAGTTACAAAGTATATAAAATACCTAGGAATTAATTTAAGAAGTGAAAGATCTATAGAAGGATAACTATAAAACATTGATGAAAAAGGTTAAAGAGGATATAAAGGAAAAATGGAAAAATATTTCATGTGCATGGATTGGAAGAAGAATCAATATTGTTAAAATGTCCATTCTACCCAAAGCAATCTACAGATTCAATGCAATCCCTATCAAAATACCAATGGCATTCTTCACAGAAATGGAAAAAATAATTCTTAAATGTATGTGGAACAAAAAAAGACCCCAAATAGCCAAAGCAATCCTGAACAAAAAGAACAAAACTGGAGGCACCACACTACCTAATTTCAAAATATACTACAAAGTGGTCAGGCACTGTGGCTCATGCCTGTAATCCCAGCATTTTGGGAGACTCAGGTGGGCAGATCACTTGAGGCCGGGAGTTTGAGACCAGCATGGCCAACATGGCAAGACCCTGTCTCTACTAAAAAACAAAAATTAGACAGGCATTGTGTACGCCTGTAATCCTAGCTACTCAGGAGCCTGAGGCAAGAGAATTGCTTGAACCTGTGAGGTGGAGATTTCAGTGAGCTGAGATTGTGCCACTACACTCCAGCCCAGGCAACCAAGGAAGTCCCTGCCAAAAAAAAAAAAAAAAAAAAAAAAAAAACACTACAAAGTGGTGGCTCATGCCTGTAATCCCAGCACTTTGGGAGGCTGAGGCGGGCGGATCATGAGATCAGGAGATTGAGACCATCCTGGCTAACACGGTGAAACCCCGTCTCTACTAAAAATACAAAAATTAGCTGGGCGTGGTGGCAGGCACCTGTAGTCCCAGTTACTTGGGAGGCTGAGGCAGGAGAATGGCATGAACCTGGGAGGTGGAGCTTGCAGTGAGCTGAGATTGAGCAACTGTACTGCAGCCTGGGCAACAGAATGAGACCCCATCTCTAAAAAAAAAAAAAAAAAAAAAAAAACAACAACAACAACACTACAAAGCAATGTTAAGTAAATCAGCATGGTGCATGGTGTTGGGATAAAAACACACATAGACCAATGAAGACAATAAAGAAACCAGGTCTAAGTCTACACATTTACAGTCAACTCATTTTTGACAAAGGTGCCAAGAACATACAATGTAGAAAGAACAGTCTCTTCAGCTGACGGTGCTGTGAAAACTGGACAACCATATACAGAAGAATGAAACTAGACCCATATCTCTCTCCGTATACAAAAGTCAAATCAAAATGGATTGAAGACTTAAATCTAAAGCCTGAAATTATGAATTGACTAGAAGAAAATTTGGGGGAAATGCTCCAGGACAAGACGTTGAAAGCACAGGCAACCAAAGCAAAAATAGACAATTGGGATTACATAAAGGTAAAAAGCTTCTGCACAGCAAAGAAAACAACCAACAAAGTGAAGAGACAACCCATAGAATGGGAGAAAATATTTGCAAACTATCCATCTGACAAAGGATTTATAACCAGAATATATAAGGAGCTCAAACAACTTAATAGCAAAAAAGAAAAAAAAAGAAAAGAAAAAAGAAAAGAAAAAAGAAAAAGCCAAGTAATCTGATTCTAGAATGGGCAAAATATCTGAATAGATGTTTCTCACAAGAAGACATACAAATGGCCAACAGGTATATGAAAAATGCTCAACATCACCAATCTTCAGGGAAATGAAAATCAAACCATTGTGAGATACCATGTAATCCTTGTTAAAATAAGACCGTGAATAATGGATGCTACCAAGCACATGAAAGGGGAATGCTTGCACACTGTTGGTGGAAATGTAAATTAGTACAGTCACTATGGAAAATAGTGCAGAAGTTCTAATAGAAACTAAAAATAGAACTACCATAGGATCCATCAATTCCACTACTGGGTACACATCCAAAAGAAAGGAAATCAGTGTATCAAAGAGATATTTGTACTCCTATGATGTTTACTGAAGCACTATTTATAAGAGCCAAAATATTAGAACCAACTTAAATGTTCCTCAGTGGACTAATGAATAAAGAAAATGTGGTATATGTACACGATGGAATATTATTCATCTATAAAAACGTTAAAATCCTGTCATTTGCAGCAACATGGATGGAACTGGAGGTTATTACGTTAAGGAAATAAGCCAAGCACACAAAGACAAATATTGCATATTCTTACTCATATGTAGGAGCTACAAAAGTGGATCTCACAAAGATAGAGAGTAGATTGGTTGTTACCAGAGGCCAGGAAGATTAGGGAGGAGAGGAGAATAAAGAGAAGTTGATTAATGGGTGTAAGTATACAATTCGATAGGAGAAATAAGACCTTGTGTTTGATAGATCAGTAGGTTGCCCATAGTTAACAATAATCTATTGTACATTTTTTTTTTTGAGATGGAGTCTGGCTCTGTCGCCTAGGCTGGAGTGCAGTGGTGTGATCTCAGCTCACTGCAAGCTCTGCTTCTGGGGTTCACGCCACTCTCCTGCCTGCCTCAGCCTCCCGAGTAGCTGAGACTACAGGTGCCCACCGCCACGCCCGGCTAATTTTTTGTATTTTTAGTAGAGATGGGGTTTCACCCTGTTAACCAGGATGGTCTCGATCTCCTGACCTCGTGATCCGCCCGCCTCGGCCTCTCAAAGTGCTGGGATTACAGGCGCGAGCCACCGCGCCCAGCCTGTACATTTCGATATAGCTAGAAGAGAATAATTTGAATGTTCCTAGCCTAAATAAAAGATAAATATTTAAAGTGATAGATATCCCAATTAACCTGATTTAATCTTTACACATTATGAATGTATAAAAATATCACATGTACCCCTTAAATATGTACATCTATTATAAAAATATTTTTAAAACCACAGTGCAATTTTGAGTTCCTAGATTCTTTGTGTTAATAATTTCAAGTAAAATAAGTATGGTTTCCTCATAGTGATACATCCAAAATTTAAAAAAAAGAAACAAGAAACTGGAATTTTGAAATCTTAAAAAAATGAAAATGCAACTTACAGAATGAGACAAAATATTTGCAAACTGTATACCTGATAAGGGGTTCATATCCAAAATATATGAAGAACTCATCCAACTCAATAGCAAAAAAACAAATAAACAGATTAAACAACGGGTGAAGGACCTGAATAGACATTTCTCAAAAGAAGACATTCAAATGGCCAACAGGTGTGTGAAAGGATGCTCAACATCACCAATCTTTATGGAAATGCAAATCAAAACCACCATGAGATATCACCTTCCACCAGTTAGGATGGTCATTCTCAAAAAGTCAAAAGATAACTAACGTTGGTGAGGATATGGAGAAAGGGAATCCTTATCCATTGTTGAGGGGATTTGAATTGATATCGCCATTACAGAAAACAGTATGGAGGTTCTTCAAAAATTGAAAAATAGAACTACTATATGATCTGGCAATCCCCCTTCTGTGTATATATCCAATAAAATAAAATCAGTACCTCATAGAGATATCTGCAATCCCATGTTTACCACAGAATTATTCACCGTAACTAAGCTATGGAAACAACTGACGTGTCTGTGGATGGATGAATGTATAAAGAAATTGCGGGACAGATATACAACTGATTATTATTCTTTTTTTTTTTTGACACGGAAGTATCACTCCGTTGCCCAGGCTGAAGTGCAGTGGCGAGATCTTGGCTTACTGCAACCTCCACTTCCCGGGTTCAAGCGATTCTCCTGCCTCAACCTCCCGAGTAGCTGGGATTACAGGCACGTGCCACCACGCCCGGCTAATTTTTTGTATTTTTAGTAGAGATGGGGTTTCACTGTGTTAGCCAGGATGGTCTCGATCTCCTGACCTCGTGATCCACCTACCTTGGGCTCCCAAAGTGCTGGGATTACAGGTGTGAGCCACCACGCCTGGCTATTATTCAGTTTTTAAAAAGAAGGCCATTCTTCCATTTACAACAACATGGATGAGACTGGAGGATAATGTTAAGTGGTATAAGCCAGACACAGAAAGAAAAATACTGCATGATCTCTCTTATGTGTGGATTCTAAGACAAAGAGAGCCAGAGAATACAACAGTGGTTACCAGAGGCAGGCAGGGTTGGGGGAAATGTAGGCCAAAGTGTACAAAGTAAGTAGTTATTTAGGATGAACAAATCTAGAGATTTAAAGTACAGCATGGGGACTATAGTTAATAATATTGTATTGTATACTGGAAATTTTCTAAGAGCATAGATTATAAGTACTCTTATCCCACAAAAAAAGGTAACTATGTGAGATGATGTATTTGTTAAATTGCTTACTTGTAATCATTTTACTATGTATTTGTATTTCAAAATATCATGTTGTACATCTTAAATTTTTACAATGAAAGAAAACAAATAAATAAGCATACATATTTAAAAACTAGAGTTATTCCTTTGCAAATAGAAAGAAACATTGCTCTGCTGCTGGAGTCTTTGTCAATGTTGCTGTTAACTTTATTTCATAGAGAATATTAACTGTGGCTGTCTCCTGCAGATTTCCAGGGATACTGCATCTCAAATAAATGACCACAATCAAAGAGTTCGGCAACTAATTTGAAAGGAGTGACACTTGGAAAATGGCAGAGCCTTTGTTACTACTGAAACAATAAAGAAACATATGAGTTCAAGACCAGCTGGCCAGCATGGTGAAACCCCAACTCTACTAAAAATACAAAATTAGCCAGGCATGGTGGCGCATGCCTATAGTCTCAGCTACTTGGGAGGCTGAGGCAGGAGAGTCACTTGAGCCCGGGAGGCAGAGGTTGCAGTGAGCCGAGATTGCGCCACTGCACTCCAGCCTGGATGACAGAGCGAGACTCCGTCTCAAGAAAAAAAAAAACAAACAACAACAACAAAAACAAAACAAAACAAAAAAAAACACAGAACATTCAAAAAGGCACCAGAGCCATAAAGATGTAAAAAACTGAGAAATCAGCTGTACAAGAAATATTAAGGAACTAAGATTACTCCCAGCCCCCGACCCCGAGAAAGCTGAAGAAGTTCTTTATGGGCTTCACATACAGGCAAGCTCTGACCCACAGCAGTTTTCATTTAAGAATCACCCTGACAATCATACCCAACTTATTATTCATGATACTCATGACAGGTAGAGCCATAGATGCCACCCATCCAATTTGAAGGAAATGGATCCCAATTTGAATAGAGCAGAAAGAATTATACTGTAATCTTTAATTTTCATTATGTAAGCTACAGGAAAATTTATAATGAGCAAAAGTGGTAATATAACAGACATCTCTGGATCATTTCCTCAAAAAGCTAAAATATAGCCCCAAGACTCAAAAGTCTTTAAAAAGATGCCTGTTAAATCTCCTCAGAAGACTACATGGATCTATACACTGTGTATTTATGCGTTTTCTATATATTTGTGCATTAATTAAACCTTTTATTTTCAAAAATGACATCAGAGAAGCCTATTTAAATCCCTTGATTTCATAAAGGTGTTTCTTTACCTTATAATTTGCTGTGCTAATACAAGGCCATGATTTCAAAGAACACAAAGGCTTTATGTAGTTCCTGACTGTGATATTATATTTGTACCTAACAGGTTATTGTTAGCATATTTTATCTTTTTTTTTTTTTTTTTTTTTGAGACACAGTCTCGCTCTGTCGCACAGGCTGGAGTGCAGCGGCGCGATCTCGGCTCACTGCAAGCTCTGCCTCCTCGATTCATGCCATTCTCCTGCCTCAGCCTCCCGGGTAGCTGGGACTACAGGTGCCCGCAACCACGTCTGGCTATTTTTTTTTTTTTTTTGTATTTTTAGTAGAGATGGGGTTTCACTGTGTTAGCCAGGATGGTCTTGATCTCCTGACCTCGTGATCTGCCTGCCTCGGCCTCCCAAAGTGCTGAGATTACAGGTGTGAGCCACCACGCCCAGCCAAAAGTTTGTTTTATATTATGCAATGTACAAGTACGTTTTTTTTTTGAGACAGAGTCTCACTCTGTCGCCCAGGGTAGAGTGCAGTGGCACGATCTCAGCTCACTGCAACCTCCATCTCCTGGGTTCAAGTGATTCTCCTGTGTCAGCCTCCCGAGTAGCTGGGATTACAGGTGTGTGTCATCATACCTGGCTATTTTTTTTTTTTGTACTTTTTTAGTAGAGATGCGGTTTTGCCATGTTGGCCAGGCTGGTCTCAAACTTCTCACCTCAGGTGATCTGCCCGCCTCAGCCTCCCAAAGTGCTGGGATTACAAGCGTGAGCTACAGCGCCCGGCCATACAAGCACATTTATACTAAATGAAATGTTATATTTTGGGCTAGGAATAAAAATTCCACTTGATTCCTAAAAGAAATTAACTTAAATACACACATGTAATTTCAACTTACAGCACCTTTCCTAGGAATCTAAGTTGTTAAAAATGTAAGAACTGTTTGTCTATGACAGTTATGCACAGAAAATGGGAGCAACTGAAGTTAACATAGAATCAACCTAACAAATAACACAGCATGAGAACTTGCATTAGATACTAGAATGGGTTACAAAGGAGGATTGTGGAGTCTCCTTCAATGAACTTAAAAAAAACCCCTCAGCTATCTAAGATGGCATAGTGGTCTTGCTAAAGCTAAAGGCACCTTACAGTTTATGATTTTATGATTATGTAAGAAGCAGTTGAATGCTTCAGATCACTAAATGGCATGCAATCACAGCACTGTGTCTCATATGTACTTGTCCAAAGGAGAGACCTAGCATTGTAGTGGAAAAAAACTAGGATTTGGAATCAAGATACCTTGACATGTGAGATTAACATCTCTCAATTTTAGTTTCTTAATTATAAAATAGGGATGCTATTAATAACACTGCCTATCTAACCTGAAAGTTGTGAGGGTCAAAGGATATGAAGAAAAAATATAGGAAAGCACTTTGTAAACTATAAAATAACATACTAATTTTTAATGATTGAATATTTTTGAAAAGGTCTGGAATTGGAGACTGCTTCAAAATATAACCTCTTTATGATGTGATGCTATATCTACATTTAAAGTATTCCACTTGCCAACACAAAGCTCAGCTATGAATAGCTTTTTTCATTGTGAATTATTTCAAACCAGGTAAAGACCTGATAATTATTTGGCTTCTATTAGAGTTTGGGTTTAATACCAAAATAAGAGTTGTTATAACTTGTGACTGCTGTAAGTAAAAGTCAGTTCAGAAAGACTGAAGACTGAAGGAAGACAGGTCAAAATATAGTCAATTTTCCAATAGTCAGCAGGAGGAAGTAAGGGAGTTGCCCTTGTAAGTTCTTTGGGATGGACAATAACTGTTTTCTTTTTTATCTATGGATTTGTGGCTGTTTTGTATTCCTTGGGCCTAGTAACATGCTTTTCTCTAAAACTAGATTTCCTGGTAATCAGGGCCTGGATAATCCAACTGGGTAAAAAATTAGAAAGGCTTGTTCTCTACCGCTGCTCCCACTTCAATACTTTTCCATGTCTTCATTTAGCCTCCTTCACCCCAGGTACAGTTTGTGATAGCTACTACAAGTTCCTACTCAAAATTGCTGCCAGCTACTGCATTATTGGGAACAGTAGCCAAAACTACTTTCTAATGGTTGGTATTAGCAACATAAGTAAATGTTGGAGACACAAAAGTAGGCACAGCAACAGGTGGAGACAAGGAATAGGGCTGGCAATGGGGATACATTATATGAGAACTCAACTTTTAGCTCTTTACAAAATGCCTTAGGATGACCCAGTGACCTGGTAGGAGAAAGTTGAAGCTTATTTTCCTTTGCCCCTCTTCCTTTTAGAAAAGTAGACTACATGCATGTGTAGGCTTGCCCCATTACTATCTTTTAGTTTTTAGTGTATTGAAACCATTCTAAAAAGAGAGTGAGTATAGGATTTTAAAGAAAATTTAACCAATGTGAATGAAAGAGGATGGAGAAAGGTGCAATGTTGCCCATTGATTAAATTGAACTCCACATTCAAGCAAAGTACTACAAGTGACTACCCAGCAGGATTGTTTAGAAATCCATATATATCCAGATGTATATCTGACTGGTAATATAAATCACAGAATCACAAAGCTGGTAAGGAGCCTCCCAAGCTGCAATCTAATCTTATCTAAACTACCCATGGTTACTAAACAAATATGGCCATACTTGCTCTCCACCATCCAGAGGACACTTATGAGGTTGACATGCTTATAAAATCTTTCTGGACACTATTTACTCACCACATTACATTGGTTGTATTAATGTGGACTTCATAGTCTTTGACCCCACTTACCTTGGTTGTCATCCTCGTTGTCTTCCCAGGTTTCTTCATTTGCTAGCAGTGGGTTCTGTGACTCATTCATAGACCTCATAGGGAAGGAGTGTCCATCACCAGGGCTGATGGGAAAAGAAAGGCAGTGACCTATTGCAGCTGACATAGACTTTTGTGAAGGTTATAATCCTCTTAAAAACAAGAGGGGGGTTCTTAGCCATATTTAGTCTCATTGTCTAAAGCCATGGTGGAATGGGCTCTTACAATAGCATTATTTAGTTGCTATATTGCTCTCGATTTCCATATCTTATTTGTGTGTCTGCATCAGTGTTAACTTCTTGTTTGTAAGAACTCTATAGTTTGCTTCCCAAAATGCCCAGTATGGCAATATGCACACACAGCAAGCTTCATACATATCACTTAATGATGATGATACCAATTTATATCCAATTATCTCACTGCTTTGATTCTAAGTTTTCAAGAAAGATGACCAGTCTCTGAAACACTAAATACAGTGGAGATAAGCTGGTGTGAATTGGTGAAAGACAATGCGCAAATGCACTGTTATTTATTTGGTGTGCATGGCAGAAAGGTTATTAGGAACTAGGGGAAAGAGCCAGAGTGAGCCATCTCTAGACTGCAGATTTTCAGGGCAATTATCCACATGTGGGGTCTCGCTTTGTGGCTACCTGTGGTAAGCTAGGGTCAACTCCTTGGGTAATTTCTGGCCACTAACAGATGGGATGCATTGGAGGGAACTGAGCTGGCCCTGGCTAGAAGAGGCTACAGTTTGAACATTTCAGTTTAGGTATCTGAATGCATTCCACATTTGAGTCTGAATGACTTTTGATGTTACCTATGCCTTTTCTCCTGTTCATGTATGTGGTAAATTGAAATTTGACAGATTTTATTGATAGCACTCTAAAGAGAATGTAAGTGTACTGATTATAAATGAATGGGCTTTGATTTTTGGTTTTGTTCTTTATTCCAGAGAAGACTGATTTTACATCTCCCTTTGATGTGGTGATGATGTGTGGATATTTGTGTATGTGAGTATGTGAATAGGGTATAGGTAATATCTGGTAACAGTTATTAATCAATATTACCCACTGACATAGTTTTGCCTTGTGATTTATAGACAGGTTAGTTGGATACACCACATCTCTGAAATACATGAGTCTTTAAAATACTAACTGCTACACAGGAAGTATCAAGGCAATCAATCAAGGAGAAATTTTTCCATAATTACCACCCTACCCCCAACAAAGTTACCTCAACTAAGTGAACATGAGTGTATTCCTGTCTAAGGAGGGGACTGAAAAGTGGCTGCAAGAAGGCTATAAGCAAGCTCTGCTCTAGAACTAGTTTAGTTGATGGTGGTTCAATCTGGTTCACAAAGTCATTCAGAGAACACAAGCTTGACTGTTTATTTCTCATCCACTACTTTCCCTGCATAATTGTTGCAGTTCTAAGAATGACCTACAACCGCAAATTAAACTATACTACAAGGCTACAGTAACAAAAATAGCATGGTACTGATATGAAGACAGATATATAGGCCAATGGAACAGAACAGAGGCCTCAGAAATAACGTCACAAATCTACAACCATCTGACCTTTGACAAAAACAAGCAATGGGGAAAGGATTCCCTATTTAACAAATGGTGTTGGGAAAACTGGCTAGCCATATGCAGAAAGCTGAAACTGGATACCTTCCTTACACGTTATACAAAAATTAACTCAAGATGGATTAAAGATTTAAATGTAAGACATAAAACCATAAAAACCTTAGAAGAAAACCTAGGCAATACCATTCAGGACATAGACATGGGCAAAGACTTCATGAACAAAACATCAAAAGCAATGGCAACAAAAGCCAAAATTGGCAAATGGGATTTGATTATACTAAAGAGTTTCTACACAGCAAAAGAAACTCTCATTAGAGTGAAGAGGCAACCTATAGAATGGGAGAAAATTTTTGCAATCTATCCATCTGACAAAGGGCTAATATCCAGAATCTACAAATAACTTAAACATATTTACAAGAGAAAAACAAACAACCCCATCAAAAGAAACTACCATCAGAGTGAACAGACAATCTACAGAATGGGAGAGAATTTTTGCAATCTACTCATCTGACAAAGGGCTAATATCCAGAATCTACAATGAACTCAAACAAATTTACAAGAAAAAAACAAACAACCCCATCAAAAAGTGGGCGAAGGATATGAACAGACACTTCTCAAAAGAAGACATTTATACAGCCAAAAGACACATGAAAAAATGGTCATCATCACTGGCCATCAGAGAAATGCAAATCAAAACCACAATGAGTACCATCTCACACCAGTTAGAATGGCGATCATGAAAAAGTCAGGAAACAACAGATGCTGGAGAGGATGTGGAGAAATAGGAACACTTTTATACTGTTGGTGGGACTGTAAACTAGTTCAACCATTGTGGAAGTCAGTGTGGCAATTCCTCAGGGATCTAGAACTAGAAATACCATTTGACCCAGCCATCCCATTACTGGGTATGTACCCAAGGGATTATAAAACATGCTGCTATAAAGACACATGCACACGTATGTTTACTGCGGCACTATTCACAATAGCAAAGACTTGGAACCAAGCCAAATGTACAACAATGATAGACTGGATTAAGAAAATGTGACACATATACACCATGGAATACTATGCAGTCATAAAAAATGATGAGTTCATGTCCTTTGTAGGGACATGGATGAAGCTGGAAACCATCATTCTCGGCAAACTATCACAAGGACAAAAAACCAAATACCGCATGTTCTCACTTATAGGCGGGAATTGAACAATGAGAACACATGGACACAGGAAGGGGAACATCACACACTGGGGTCTGTTGTGGGGTGGGGGGAGGGGGGAGGGATAGCATTAGGAGATATACCTAATGCTAAATGATGAGTTAATGGGTGCAGCACACCAACATGGCACATGTATACATATGTAACAAACCTGCACGTTGTGCCCATGTACCTTAAAGCTTAAAGTATAATAAAAAAAAGAAAAAACCAAACAACCCCATCAAAAAGTGGGCAAAGGATATGAACAGACACTTCCCAAAATAAGACATTTATGTGGCCAACAAACATATTAAAAAAAGCCCATTATCACCGGTCATTAGAGAAATGCAAATCAAAACCACAATGAGACACCATCTCATGCCAGTTAGAATGGCAATCATTAAAAAGTCAGGAAACAACAGATGCTGGTGAGGATGTGGAGAAATGGGAACGCTTTTATACTGTTGGTGGGAGTGTAAATTAGTTCAACCACTGTGGAAGACTGTGTGGCAATTCCTCGAGGATCTAGAACTAGAAATACCATTTGACCCAGCCATCCCATTACTGGGTATATACCCATCGGATTATAAATCATTCTACTATAAAGACACATGCACACGTATGTTTATTACAGCACTGTTCACAATAGCAAAGACTTGGAACCAACCCAAATGCCCATCAATGATAGACTGGATAAAGAAAATGTGGCACATATACACCATGGAATACTATGCAACCATCAAAAAAATGAGTTCATGTCCTTTACAGGGACATGGATGAAGCTAGAAACCATCATTCTCAGCAAACTAATACAAGAACAGAAAACCAAACACCGCATGTTCTCACTCATAAGTGGGAGTTGATCAATGAGAACACATGGACATAGGGAGGGGAACATCACACACCAGGGACTGTCCTGGGGTGGGGAGCTAGGGGAGGGATAGCATTAGGAGAAATACCTAATGTAGATGATGGGTTGATATGCAGCAAACCATCATGGCACGTGCATACCTATGTAACAAACCTGCATGTTCTGCACATGTACCCCAGAACTTAAAGTATAATAAAAAAAGAATTACCTACAACCTCAAATTAATCTTTGTTCTTGCTTTTCATATTTTTATTCATAAAATAATATTAGTATTAACCACAAAATATATAAAATGGAGAAAATATAAATAATTTCTAAGACTATTGCCCTTACCATTTTTAACATTTTTTGGTGTATTTCTCTTCTGCTGCTTCTCTTCTATATATATTTATGTTTTTAATCACAGTGTATTGAATTTTTCGTTTTTCACTTAAAATATAGTACCATTTTTACCATTTTTTGGTATATTTCTCTTCTGCTGTTTTTCTTCTATATATACTTATGTTTTTAATCACAGTGTATTGGATTTTTCTTTTTTCACTTAAAATATAGTAAGCACTTTCCCTTTTTGTGACATAGTCTTTATAACCATTACTTTTGATTGTATAATATTCCATCCAGTATGTGTGTATATATATATATTATATATATATAATATATATATAATATATATATAATATATATTATATATATATATTCCCATATTGTTGGCTGTTTAGGTTGTTTCCTAATTATTGGCTATAAATAATGCTGTGATGAACATTTTTGTGCATAGTTTGTCTCTGTCTTTAGGGTAGATTCAATTCCCAGAAATGGAATTACTGGGATGTTGGGCAAGTAGATTCTTAAATTTTTTGATAGATATTACCAAATTCAGTTATAAAAGATTGGTAGTGCCACTGCACACTGCCACAAAGAAAGCATGAGAATATCTATTTTATCAGACCCTCACCTCTTTATTTGCCTTTATTAACCTAGAAATGAAGAACTTGGGGAATAGAGTTTCACACTGGACTGATACCTGCTGCATACTACAATCAAAATTGAATTTGCTGGTTCAAGGCAGGGTCCAGTACTAACTTCTTCCAGTGGTAATATTTACTCACCTGGAACCAATAGGTATTAACCAGAACTTCTTCTTATCTCCAAACACCTGCTGGATATTCTTGATGAAGCCAAGGTTGAACCCATTTTTCTCTGGGCCACTTGTAAACACTGGAGTGCAGAAGGCCTCTAAGGCAGGGCAGGAGAGTTGAAGAAAAGAGGAAGAAAGCAATAAAGAAACAAATTTCAGCATAGTCATGATTTTACATTTCTCCATGTATGTGACTTGGTTCTATTATATCTTTTTGCTGTGGTAGCACAGACCTCTCATTTTTAGGTATTGCTAAATTGCTTAGTAAAAACCAGTTTAATCACTTCACACAAACTAAACTTGTTACTGCATATAAAGAATTAGAACTCTCTTTTTAAAAGACAGGGGAAACACATGGTGGCAGAAATAATTAAGCAGCCACGGGGGTAGTATGTATTTTGTACTGCTGAATTTAGAATATAGGAACAGATTTAACAGCACTTTATTTGAATCTAAGCGGCAACAACAGCCGAATGACCACCATCTTTAGAGCTGGGAAGAAAGTAATGACACATAAAGAGATGGTAATGACATTGATTTGGTTTTGAAACATTTCAAAAATGAAAGTGTTCATGCTGAAGCCTGCAGTGTAAGAAACTGAGTTTTACTTCAGCTAAAATGTCAATTGGTGAGCCATAATCACTTCAAAGACTGTAAGGAATGGGACCATGTTAGTGCACATTATTTTTAGACACACATTTATCCCATTAAGTAAATGATTTCACTGTTGGACTCTAGCTGCATCTGACTGTTTCTCATTTGTTCTTTGTTTTCAGACTCTGTTATCATGAAGCTTTTAGTGGTTTTCCACTTCGTAGCTGGTCTCTAAGCCAAATGTGCTAATCTACCACCCTAGCAACTAGGGGCTACATACATATTTGGTTAAGAAAATGGGTGCAAATACTTTTTTTTTAAATTTATTATTATTATACTTTAAGTTTTAGGGTACATGTGCACAATGTGCAGGTTAGTTACATATGTATACATGTGCCATGCTGGTGTGCTGCACCCACTAACTTGTCATCTAGCATTAGGTATATCTCCCAATGCTATCCCTCCCCCCTCCCCCCACCCCACAACAGGCCCCAGAGTGTGATGTTCCCCTTCCTGTGTCCATGTGTTCTCATTTTAAAAAATAGATACAGGGTCTTATTCTGTCACCCAGGCTGGAGTACAGTGGCACAATCTTAGTTTACCGCAGCCTTAAACTCCTGGCCAGGGTCAATCAATCTTCCTGTCTCAGCTTACTGAGGAGCTGCAGCCACAGGCACATGCCACCACACCCAGCTAATGATTATTATTTTAAAAATATTTTAACTATTATTTTAGGTTCAGGGTAAATGTGCAAGTTTGTTATATAGGTAAATTTGTGACTTGAGGGTATGGTGTTTGTCACCCAGGTACTAAGCATAGTACCCGAGTGAATTTTTTTTTCTGAACCCCTCCCTCCTCCCATACTCCTTCCTCAAGTAGGCCCCAGTGTCTGTTGTTCCATTCTTTGTGTTTACGTGTACTCAGTCTTTAGCTCCCACTTATAAGTGAGAACATGAAGTATTTGATTTTCTGTTCCTGAGTTAGTTCACTTAGGATAATGGCTTCAAGCTTCATTTGTGTTGCTGCAAAGGACAGGATCTCGTTCTTTGTTATGGCTGCGTAGCATTCCATGGTGTATATGTACCACATTTTCTTTATCTAGTTTGCCATTGATGGACCTTTAGGTTGATTCCACGGCTTTGCTATTGTGAATAGTCACCCAGCTAATTATTTTTATTTTTATTTGTAGAGATGGGGTTTTGTTATGTTGCTCAGGCTGGTCTCAAACTCCTCAGCTCAAGTGATTCTCCTGCCTTGGCCTTCCAAAGTGCTAGGAGTGCTAAGAATACAGGAGTGAGCCATCATGTACGGCCAATAGATGCAAATACTTTCTTAGCTGTTAGCATTATTAGCAAACAAATTCCCAATGTGTAGTAGCTTTTGCACTAAACTTTTCTCAAATCTATCCTAGCTAAACATTCAACATTCAAAACTTGGACACTTTGTCCTCACTCCTCATGTACTGATTTGTACACAATGTAAATACTTATTTCACCATAGATGAAATAAAATGTACTGGAATCCATCAGTAATATAGTTTTCCACATAATAGCCTATAGACTAACTGACAGAAAATATGTTCATTTATTTTACTCATTTTCTAGAGAATCATTTGTTCAATGTATTTATCTCATTCCCATAGTACCTAAACAGCCCCTTGATGATTGCAGATATTTACTGATTTTTTTTTTTGTTTCTCAAGACTTTTGGATTCTTGTTGTGGTTGGTTTGGATTTTTTCTCAGGGCTCTGTTTTTAGATGTGCATAATAAATTAGATTCTACTATCTTTATCAAACTTTACTTCTCCCTTCTGACATCCCCTTCTGTACTGATTCTTTCTTTAATTTCCTCATGTGAACACCTTTTAGAAATCTTCTGAGCTATTAACCTTGGGAGCTATTACCCAGTATGCACTATAAAGAACAATGGCCATTTTTGTTTCTGTGTGGGGTTTCATTAAAAAATATTCTCATAATTAGCCTATAAGCTTCACTCACTATGCCTTTCTATTTCGGTAAAATGTATTTTCATCTGTCTCAGTCTGGGGGTAGAGGGATGTCACTGCAGCTAAAATGCTTCACTGGAAGTTTTAATTGGGAACAATTCACAGGTCCCTCTGATACACATTAATATGTTTTTTCCTAATCTTAATATTCAGTCTTACCTAAGGTGGTTTTGTTTCTGCTGACAAGCCAACAATGGTAACCAAAGAGAATCACAAGGCTGACAAAAAACATGCAGGCCACAAAGAGAAGAAAAAGGACATGGAACTTAGAGCGAACACTGGGTAATTCCCCCTAGAAAAGAAATAATAAACAAGCAAAAGATTAAAGTGGAAACGGATGGCTAGTTTTTCTAAATATATAGGTTAGTAGTTTTCACATGTATAAAGTGTCTAGCTGTAATTTAAAAAATAGATTCTGTAAAATTTTTATAATATGGTTCTTTCTGTCAATGATGATACCTGTGAGTGTGCTCTCAGCCTACAAAGCCTAAAATGGATCCTTGCTTAAGTGCAGTTCAGTGTAAAATAGAGTATCTTAAGTACCAATTATAAAAGGGTAATGTGAAAAGGGTATTCTCGGGCCATAATTGGTATGCAACCGCTTACAGCTTGTAGTCAATTTAGTTTGAGATCTTGAAGTCATATGCCTTATCCTCTTGTCTCAGGGTAAGTTATTCTGGAATTCTTTATATATAATGTTTCCTTGGGCATGCGTGTATTGAAAATGTCACGGTGATGTATGTAAGAAGTTAAAACATAGGTAGAATTTTAAAATGTCCTACCCATAAGTCATAACCTGATTTTAAAGTTGTTGTAGATTTTGTGTGGTTGTTTTTTATAGCTGAGGTAGAATGTGCTGATATATTACATCCTGTGAAACAGCTGTTTAGACAGTAAAAATCAAGCAGAATTTTTACAGGCAACTGTAAAAGTAGGTGGCTAAAGATTTTTATAGTTATCTAGGACATCTTATTTTCCATGTGGCACCAGCCTTTTTTTCCGACATGCAGCCTAGACCAGAATGAATGTTATAAAGTTCTGTAACATGCGCAGCATGTAACATTTATCTTCTGAAGAGAATCTTAGAAAACATTTTCAATTTTGGAGTGAATAGTTGGGGGAATGACTACTATTTATTTCCTCCTTCCCTGTGATGATTATTGTTTCAGTGTGATGAATCACTTTGAAATATTTCCAATTGCTCTCTAGTAATAAAGTTAAATGTGATTCTTAAGTGGACCTTAACTTCTGAATGATCTAGTTCTACTCCAATTTGGGAGGAGAAAGTTAAGGCTTGGCAACACTTGGCAAGTTCAGATAGTACAGATTTTTTTCTTCTCTGAGATAATATTTTTATTCATTTTTATGTATGGAAATATTGGGAATCTTCCAGGTTGTATACTGAAGGATGAAGATAAGCATGCTTCCCCTTATCTTCAGCCAGTCAGATGCTGTCAGCTGAGTGGGGGTCCAGGTGAAAATTGCATAGGGGCAGAGCAGCCCAGCAAAGAGCTACCTCAAGAACTTCAACCTTCAAGAATATTTATTTGAAACTCTCCTTTTTGAAATGATCCCTCTACAAATTCTCGGCCTAAGCAGGCAAATTGAATTAGATTGGTTTTTGTTTTATTTTGAACTTATAGAAAAGATTCCATACATTGCTTTGCAGTGGGTTTTGCCTTGACTGTGTTTTTGCTTTCACAATCTTTAGTTTTTAAAGAATGTTTTAAAAATATTTTAAAGCTCACATTTATTTTACTTCTTATTGTTTCACATATAAATGGATAGTAGAAAATGGCTGGACAAGAGGGACTGATATAAAGTCAGTCCACAGTCTGTCTGGCTGAGCTGCAGTCTATTCCCTCACCCCACCCAATTACTCTCAAAGAACATTTTTCTGTCTCCCAAAGCATATCTACTGTGTTGTCCCTTGATAGAGTTCTTCTTAAACTTTTTTTTTTTTTTAGAAGAGGGTGATAGCCCTATGTTCAAAAATACCTTCTCAGGAGATAACCAAGCTAAATCACTCAAAGTAATAGCCATCAGAGAGAGAGCAGATGAATACTGGCAGAATAATGCTATTATCCTGATTCTAAAATAATTCATAGCTCTGTGAGGAGATCCATGGCCCAATATGTGAGGGATGTATTACTATTTTTTACATAAGGAAAAGCTCAATCTCTTATCAAAGTAGCTATTGTTTAATATAGAGAAGAGAGAAATAATCTGTTGGTCTTCTGAATTCTTTAATCTCATGGAGCTAGAGCTCTCCACAGCAGAGCCATAATGGGCAGTAGGACATGGTATAGTGTGTAAATTCATGGGGCTTAGGGTCCGACTTAGGTGAAAGTCCTAACTTTGGAAATTTACAAGCTGGGTGATCATAGACAAGTCACTTAACTACTATGAGCCTCAGTTTTTATCATCTTTGAATAAGACTAATAATTCATGCTTTGCCTACTTCACAGGGTTGTGGTAAGGATCAGATGAGATAAGGGGTATGAAAGTGCTTCAAAAACTGTAAAGTACCATACAAATGAAGGTTGCTATTGATAGGAGCACAGCTTGTCTCCTTGATACACAGCTTTCAAAATATATGGCAGTGTTTACTTTTTATTTTAAGGGGATATTCAATTTAAACAGAGAAAGCCATCCCTAAACTACACTAAAGTGTTATCTGGCTAAAGAGACTGCCAGGGAGCATTTCTCTGAACTGTCAATGCCCTTTTCATTTTAGGACAAGCCAGGACACATTTCCTTGCCTCTCATCTGTGAGGCATGAGCTAGCCTACTGTGGAGAAAAAAAATGAGGGAATAGAAAGAGAACAAGGTTATGTTCACTCTTGGTATTACTTGTGAATATTGGCACATTACTGATGATTAATTCATATCCAAATATTATCTTTCAAGAATGAAAAAAGCATATAGCACCTGGCTGGCATTGTGACATTTGATTATTGGCTGACTAGGTGGGCTAAAGGCAAAATGTGTGAAATGTAATATTGTTTATTTTGTTACAAGGGTAAAAAGTGGTTCCTAAACAGTAGCCTACTGTGTTAAGAACCAAGAAAGGTCTATAGTGAAGATCAAGGCCGACACTTTCCCTGCTGATTGGACATAGTAGATTTTCTTCACATTCAGGGTAGTAGCTCAGTATGTGGATTTTATAATATATTTTAAAATTATTGTAACTTAATAATAATCCTGTGCTGTGGAAAGGGACAAAGGAAGAGATGATGAAGCATTTTATATTTGTAGAAAAATTTATGAAAAAGTTTTACTTCTGCATAAAGTTTTGCTTGTATCCCTGAGTTAATGATTATGGCATCTATTATATAATTCCTTATTCTTAAAGTTATTAAATATCTGAACTGATTAAGCAAGTTGAAAGGGAAATGGAAAACACACATCACTATAATTTTCTACACTATCTTTTCTATATTACTAGGGATCAATGCACTGATTAATAATTTAAATATTCTTGGCTATTTAGGTTCCTATTGCCTTACCCTTCTCCTTTTTTCTTCAGTTTATTATAGTCTATATTCTGGTCACTGAATTCATGTTCTTTCTCTACGGCTTTATGTCTCCATTTGAGGTGAGATATTCATGTTATATAGGCTTTTGTGCAATCCCTAAATAACTAGTAGCTCTGTCCACATCTGTCTTTTGATATTCAGGTTCAGTTTGGACAGCCTTCATCATGGATGTCTTAGTAATTGTACTGGAGTTGTGGGGAAGGGATATCTCCTGGAGTCCACTAGTATGACATTTAAAAAGAACATATTTCACTATACTTTTGCCAGACCTTGTACACATATGTAAATAAAAAAATCTGCCTTAAGTTTGTTTTTCTTTTTTGGAAGTAGTTGGATATGATTTATATCTTCAAGTAGATGAAATAACTTTTTTTGAGATTTCATTATAATTATTAGACTCACATTTTTAAAGGTAAAGCACTTTCAACGTCTGTTTCATTTGATCTTGGCAATGAGCCAGTGAAGCAGGTAAGAGATCCAGTATTAGATCCCAGTTCTCCTAATTGCTAACCCAGTGTTTGTCAAACAAAGTTAAAAAACAAACAAAAAAACCCCTCCCCATTATGTGAGATAGGTCAGTATATCTTTCTGTCTCATAGGAATTCTGCAACTCTCCTTTGAATAGGGAATTAGGAAGTATTTTCTAACAACAGGGGAGTGATTTGTTAGCCTTTTTCTTAGGAAACTAGGGATTTAAAATTAGTTTCAACATTTTTCAAATCTATAACTGGTAGGAAGTGGAACTTTAAAACTCACCTGGAGAAATACATTGTAAAGAATCAATAGGAGTCAAGAGATTAGGTACCCAAAGGCCTTAGCAAGATTCTCGTGTATGACAGAAACTTGTTTAACTAGAATCTTTAAATAACAGCTTCCGAAATCTCAGAGTATTCAATATGGAAAACCTGTTTTTAGTGCCTTCTCTTCCAGTTACTTCAACAGTATTAGCTATTTAAAAATGTAAAAAGATAGAGGGTGAACAATGTCACAAGTTGGAGTGGGTGTGCATTTGTTCTAGGGGACCCTTCAGGATATTTTTAACTTACTCTCCAGTATTTGATGAAATAGCTGAAGACTGTCGTAGCAATGTACAGGCAGTAGAGAACAGAGTAAGCTAAGAATTGAAGGAAGAATTTGTAGTTGGAAAATCCAATGCAGTTATTAACCCTAAAAAAAAAGAAAAACTAATTTGACATCAGGACCTCTTGATTGAGAGCACACTGATACATAAGTGAACTAAGCAATGGAATAATGCTAGTTCTGCTGCTTCATTATGTGTCGTGTAAAAGCCCAATAGAGATAGAAGTCCCTTAATAAGAACAAACTGGATAAAACAAGTTCATGTCTCACTTGTTTATTCTTTCATTTACAGGCACAGAAACACCTGGCCTGCCTAATAGCTCTGGACTGGTTCGTGACACATCCAAGCAAACCTGGATCCTGGTTGCTAAAAATGTATTACAGTTTTAGCAGCTACATTTGGTACAGTTGTGGCATGTTCTTTTTGTAGTTAGGTGATTTCAGACTGGCCCGCAGGGTCTGATATACAAAATTTGGAAAATTGCTGAATTTAACATTCTAGAATATTTCAAACATCAAGCCAACTAGAAACAGAACTGAATTGTGTAATGTTAAAAGGAGAAATGTTTGTGCTGTATTTCATTACTATGCTCAATTGCTAAAGTTAATGAATATGAGACCATTAGCTTTGTAACTCCAGGAATTCACTACCATACCTTTGGTGTTATATTTTTTCTTTATTTAAAATGTTACCCCTCCCCTGTCCCCTACAGAAATATAAAACCCAGTGAATTATGGTGGCAGAAACAGGCATGTGACAACTATGCTTAGAAAAGTGCATATAATTGAGCAACTTTGACCCCTTTAGAGGAGAGAAATGAATCAAACAGACATACCAAGGGCAGTGATGATCCATTTTTAACACACACCTACGAAGGGGACAAAATACAGTGTGATAAGTGAGGCTATGGAAATGAAGCAACATCTCATAATTAAACTCAAGGTTTCACCAGTATTTTTACATGGTTCTAATAACACCCATTCTCAGATTTCCACTATAGTGACTCCAAAACTGTGGCCCTCAGTTATTTCTAGGATGAGGTAATCACAACAACACTTTATAGGATCATGCCAGCAGCAAGTTACATGCTTATAAGTCCAACCTTTCAAAGGGATTGGAAACTCCAGATTATTAATACAGAGAAAAGGTTCAAGATGTCTCCTATCATTTTATTCAATACTTAGTTTAATAAAAATACAGAAGAAAATATATGGCTATAGCCTCTATCTGAATCAAGGGTAAGAAAAATATGGGTGGAATAAGTACTCAAGAGAAAAGGCATTACATGTATCAATATAAAAATGGGGTTTGCAAAGCTGGAACAATTTGGGCAACAAAAAAGTAGTATTGGGTTATAATGCAAAATGTAAAATGAATATTTATGCTTTCATACTGATATAAATAAATGATTGAATAAATAAATAAATGAAGAGAAGAGATAAATGTCCCAAGCAAAATAACTTGAAATAATTTGTGTAGATACTCCACCTTCAAGGATGGAGGGCATAACTTTCCATTCCTTTAGTGTTGGCTGTGCATAGTGACTTCCTTTCAAAGAGTAAAGCATAGAAAGGAAGAACAATTTTACAGTGGTGAAACCTGACATACTACCTCAGCCAGATGATCAAAATTAACCTTTCAGTGATAAGTCATGTTTATAGGTACCCTTAATATGATGTAATGAGAATGGCACCTTACTCTGTCGTCTTCCTCCCCCAGATCATATTACCCCAGTCTAACAATGATGAGGAAAGCATCAAACAAATCTCAATCAAGGGACACTCTATGACCTACTTGACCATTAATCCTAAATACTGTCAAGGTTATCAAAAACAAGTCTGGGATACTGCCACAGCTAAGAGAAGCTAAGGAGATGAGACATCACTATTAAATGTAATGTGGTATCCTGGATGGGATCCTGGAACAGATAAAGGACATTATGGAAAAACTGAGGAAATCTAAATATAGACTTCAGTTAAAAATAATGTATCAGTATTAGTTCATTAATTGTAACAAATGTATCATACAAATATAAGATGTTAACAACAAGGGAAACTGGGTGTGAGACATACAAGAACTATCTTCACAATAAATCTGTAAGTCTAAAACTGTCCACAAATACAATGTTAGTTTTTAAAATGTGGTCTTACTTCTCTTACTTATCTTTAGAGTAGCTTGGATCATCATCATCCGTGTGAGGGGTTTTGGCATATGCTCATTATAATTGAAAGGAAATGCTCTTATCTAGGTATGATTACATGTTAGGATCAGTCATTTTGTTGTCTAGGAAACCTTCAGTGGCCAAGCCCAGCCCAGGGGAAATATGGCCGTCACTTACATAGCACAGACAGAGCAGTGGTGGCAGCGGTCTGGCTTGATCAGATGACACCGGTCACAGAATCGTACAGCTATAAAAAAAAAAATAAGGTGGTTAGCACTTGTTAGGGCTCAATATAAGACCTTATATCTTACTAGCTTATCTGGATGACTTGTTATGCACTGATTATAGATAGTCAAACTCATCTCAAGTTACCAAGCAAAAGGCAGACTACATAAGAGAATTGGGGTATATATTTTTTTCCTTGTTGTATCCAATTTTGAAAGCACTTTTGGGGGCTGAAAGGAACGAGAAAAGTTTCTTATCTGGATATCTGTCATAAGATCTTTCATTATAAAACAAACTATACTATCAAATGCTTGAGGGATCTTGAAAAACCATTTAGCCTCTATTTACCCCCAACTTTCTGATCTGAAAATAAGGATTCACAGTTTATCTCCTGTCTCCAGAGGTTGGATTGTATGTGGTGGATAACACTCCTAAAACATGGTAAAGAGAGTGGTTTCTAGAATAATAATTTGGGGAACAGAAGAGACATTCTAGAACAATTAGTTTAATTGACCATTTCACAGATAAAGGAAATAAAGATCTGGGTCATATCAAGTGATTTGCCCAGGGTCACACAGCAAGTTGCTGGCAGGGCTGTGACCTGTACAGTTTTGATGATTTCTTATTTTAGGATTCTTTTAACTCTGTAATTCTTATTTTAGGATTCTAATATAAAAAAATCATTCCTCCTTCCCTCCCTCCTTCATTCCTTCCTTTCTTCCTTCCTTCCTTTCCTTTAGATGAAAGGTATTTTACTTTCCCTCTCATTTTCTAGATGTTCATTGATAGAGTACGACTGTGTTTAATGTGATTATTAAGTATAAAAACTAAAATGATGAATAATTTGAACTAATATAATCATTTCATCTAAAGTGTACATTAAGCACATATTACTGATTCAACACAATAGACAGTTAATTCAGCAGAGATTTGTGTTTACTTCCACTAATGGAAGTATGTGAGTGACTAAAGTCGTGGGTATAATTGAGTCAAAGAGGAAGGGAGAAGAACATGCATATCTGGGTCCTTTTGCATATTTTAAAATATACTGTCAATGCTCCTATCCTCATTTAAGCCACATTGTCTCTTAGCTAGTTGACTGCAATATCTGTGTAATTTATCACTCTGCTTTCATACTTGCCCCTCAAAAGACCTACTATACAGAGTAGCTGGGTGATCTGTCAAAATCTACATCAGATCTGGTGTAGTGGCTCATGTCTATAATCCCAGCACTTTGAGAGACTGAGGCACAACTATCGCTTGAGACCAAGAGTTCCAGACCAGCCTGGACAACATAGTGAGACCCTGTCTCTATAAAAAAATAAAATAAAATAAATTAGCCAGGCATGGTGGTGTGCACTTGTGGCCTCAGCTACTTGGGAGGCCGAGGCGGGAGGATTGCTAGAGCCCAGGAGTTCGAGGCTGCTGTGATCCATGAATGAACCACTGTACTCCAGCCTGGGCGATAGAGCAAGATCCTGTTTCTAAAAATAAAAAAAAAAATGTAAATCAGATCATATCACTCTCCACTTAAAACTCTCAATGGATTTCCAACACCTTCAGAATAAAATCCAAACTCCTTACCATGGCCTGTATCATCTAGCCTCTGCCTATCTCTTCAAATGAATCTTGTAAAACTCTCCTCATACTATGTTCCAGTGAAACTGGCTGCCTATCTGCTCTTGTAATCAAGCTTGCTCCTGTTTCAAGGCTTTTTGTGCTTGCAGTTCCTTTTGCCTGGGATGATCATCCCTCTGCTCCTTTTGGTATGATGGTTAATTTTACTTTTTTTATTTCAATAGGTTTTTGGGGAACAGGTGGTGTTTGGTTACATGGATAAGTTGTTTAGTGGTGATTTCTGAGATTTTGGTGCACCCACCATCTAAGCCGTAAACACTGTACCCAGCATGTAGTCTGTTAACCCTTGCCACCCCCTACCCTTCCCCCTGAGTCCCCAGAGTACACTATATCATTCTTAGGCTTTTGCATCCTCATAGCTTAGCTCTCACTCATAATTGAAAACATATGATATTAGGTTTTCCACTCCTGAGTTACTTTACATAGAATAATGGTCTCCAACTCCATCCAGGTTGCTGAGAATGCCATGATTTTGTTCCCTTTTTATGGCCAAGTAGTGTATATTTTTTATGGCTGAGTAGTGTGTGTGTGTGTGTGTGTGTGTGTGTGTGTGTGTGTGTGTATATATATATATATATATATGTAACATTTTCTTTATTCACTCATTGGTTTGGGCTGGTTCCATATTTTTGTAATTTGTAATTGCAAACTGTGTTGCGATGAACATGCCTGTGCAAGTGTCTTTTTCATATAATGACTTCTTTTGCTCTGGGTAAATACCCAGGAGTGGGATTGTTGGATCAAATGACAGATCTACGTTAGTTCTTTAAGGAATCTCCATACTGTTTTCCATAGTGGTTGTAGTAGTTCATATTCCCACCAGGAGTGTAAAAGCGTTCCCTTTTCACCACATCAAAGCCAACGTTTATTATGCTTTGATTTTTAAATTACGGCCATTCTTGCAGGAATAAGGTGGTATTGCATTGTGGTTTTGACTTGCATTTCCCTGAAAATTAGTGATGTTGAGAATATTTTCACGTTTGTTGGCCATTTGTATATCTTCTTTTGAGAATTGTTTATTCAGGTCCTTAGCCCACTTTTTGATGGGATTGTTTTTTTCTTGCTGATTTGTTTGGGTTCCTTGTAGATTCTGGATATTCGTCCCTTGTCACATGCATAGTTTGTGGATAATTTTTCCCAGCCTTTGGGTTGTCTGTTTACTCTGCTATTTCTTTTCCTATGCAGAAGCTTTCTAGTTTAATTAAGTCCCATCAATTTATCTTTGTTGGTGTTGCATTTGCCTTTGGGTTCTTGGTCATGAACTATTTGCATAGGCCAATATCTAGCAAAGTTTTTCCAATGTTATCTTCTATAATGTTTATGGTTTCAGGTCTTAGATTTAAGTCTTCGATCCAACTTGAGTTCAGTAGATTTTTGTATATGGTGATAAATGAGGATCCAGTTTCATTCTTCTACATGTGGCTTGCCAATTATCCCAGCATCATTTGTTGAATAGGGTGTCTTTCCCCACTTTATGTTTTTGTTTGCTTTGTCAAAAATCAGTTAGCTGTAAGTATTTGGGCTTATTTCTGGGTTCCTATTCTGTTCCATTGGTCTATGCACCTATTTTTATACCTGTACCATGCTGCTTTGGTGACTATAGCCTTGTAGTATAGTTTGAAGTCAGGTAACGTGATGCCTCCAGATTTGTTCTTTTTGCTTACTCTTGCTTTGCCTAATGCGGGCTTTTATAGTTTCACATGAATTTTAGAATTGTTTTTTCCAGTGCTGTGAAGAATGATGGTGGTAGTTTGATGGGAATTGCATTGAATGTGTATATTGCTTTTGGCAGCATGGTCATTTTCACAATATTGATTATACCCATTCATGGGCATGGGATGTGTTTCCATTTGTTTACGTTGTCTATGATTTCTTTCAGCAGTGTTTTGTAGTTTTCCTTGTAGAGGTCTTTCATGTCCTTGGTTAGGTATATTTCTAAGTTTTGTTTGTTTGTTTGTTTTCTGCTATAGTAAAAGTAGTGGAGTTCTTGATTTGATTCTCAGCTTGGTTGCTGTTGGTGTATAGCACTGCTACTGATTTGTATACATTAATTTTGTAACGTGAAATTTTATTGAATTCATTGATCAGATCCAGGAGCTTTTTGGAAGAGTCTTTAGGGTTTTCTAGGTATATGATCACATTATCAGCAAACAGTGACTGTTTGACTTCCTCTTTATTCATTTGGATGTCCTTTATTTCTTTCTCTTGTCTGATCACTCTGGCTAGGACTTCCAGTACTATGTTGAATAGAAATGGTGAAAGTGGGCATCTTTGTCTTGTTCCAGTTCTCAGGAACAATGCTTTCAACTTTTCCCCATTCAGTATAATTTAGCTGTGGGTTTGTCATAGATGGCTTTTATTACCTTAACATATTTCCCTTCTATGCTGATTTTGCTGAGGATTTTAATCATAAAGGGATGCTGGATTTTGTCAAATGTTTTTTCTGCGTCTATTGAGATGATCATGTGATTTTTGTTTTTACTTATGTTTATGTGGTGTACCACATTTATTGACTTGCCTGTGTTAAACCAACCCTGAATCCATGGTATGAAACCCACATGATGATGATGGATTATGTTTTTGATATGCTGTTGAATTCGGTTAGCTAGTATTTTGTTGAGGATTTCTGCATCTATATTCATTAGGAATATTGGTCTGCAGTTTTCTTTTTTAGCTATGTTCTTTCCTGGTTTTTGGTACTAGGGTAATATTGGCTTCATAGAATAATTTAGGAAGGATTCCCTCTTTCTCTGTCTTTTGGAATAGTTTCAGTAGGAGTGGTACCAATTCTTCTTTGAGTGTCTGATAGAATTCAGCTGTGAATCCATCTGGCCCTGGACTTTTTTTTGTTGGCAATTTTTTTATTACCATTTTAATCTTGCTGCTTGTTACTGGCCTCTTCAGAGTTCCCATTTCTTTCTGGTTTAATCTAGCACAGTTGTATATTTGCAGGAATTTATCCATCTCCTCTAAATTTTCTAGTTTGTGCCCACGAATGTGTCCTTAGTTGCCTTGAATGATCTTTTGTATTTCTGTTATCGGCTGTAATATCTCCCTTTTTGTTTCAAATTGAGCTTATTTGGATCTTCACTCTTCTTGGTTTATCTCACTAATTGTCTATCAATTTTATCTTTTCGAAGAACAAGCTTTTCGTTTCATTTATCTTTTGTATTCTTATTTTTTGTTTCAATTTCATTTAGTTCTGCTCTGATTTTTGTTATTTCTTTTCTTCTGCTGGGTTTGGGTTTGGTTTGTTCTTGTTTCTTTAGTTCCTTGAGGTGTAAGCTTAGATTGTCCATTTGTGCTCTTTCAGACTTTTTGATGTAGGCACTTAATGCTATGAACTTTCCTCTTAGCACTGTTTTGCTGTATCCCAGAGGTTTTGATAGGTTGTGTTACTATTATCATTCAGTTCAAAGAATTTTTAAAACTTCCATCTTGATTTCATTGTTGACTCAACAATCATTCATGAGTAGTTTATTTAAATTCTATGTATTCACATGGTTTTGAAGGTTCCTACTAAAGGTGATTTCCAATTGTATTCCACTGTGGTCTGAGAAAGTACTTGAAATAATTTTGATTTTCTTAGATTTACTGAAACTTGTTTTGTGGCCTATCATATGGTCTATCTTGAATAATGTTCCATGTGCTAATGAATAGAATGTATATTCTGCAGTAGTTGGGTAGAATGTTCTGTAAATATCTGTTTTGTTTTGTTTGTTTTATTTTTTGTTTATTTTGTTTTGTTTTGTTTTGTCTTTTTGAGACGGAGTCTCGCTCTGTCGCCCAGGCTGGAGTGCAGTGGCGTGATCTCGGCTCACTGCAAGCTCTGCCTCCTGGGTTCACGCCATTCTCCTGCCTCAGCCTCCCGAGTAGCTGGGACTACAGGCACCCACCACCATGCCCGGCTAATTTTTTGTGTTTTTAGTAGAGATGGGGTTTCACCGTGTTAGCCAGGATGGTCTTGATCGCCTTACCTCGTGATCCGCCCGCCCCGGCCACCCAAAGTGCTGGGATTACAGGCCTGAGCCACCGCGCCAAGCCCCTGTAAATATCTGTTAAGTCTATTTGTTCTAGTGTGTAGTTTAAGTCTACTGTTTCTTTGTTGTTTCTTTGTTGACTTTCTTTTTTTTGTTTTTTTTTTTTAAATTTATTTATTATTATTATACTTTAAGTTTTAGGGTACATGTGCACAATGTGCAGGTTAGTTACATATGTATACATGTGCCATGCTGGTGTGCTGCACCCACTAACTCGTCATCTAGCATTAGGTATATCTCCCAATGCTATCCCTCCCCCCTCCCCCCACCCCACAACAGTCCCCAGAGTGTGATGTTCCCCTTCCTGTGTCCATGTGTTCTCATTGTTCAATTCCCACCTATGAGTGAGAATATGCGGTGTTTGGTTTTTTGTTCTTGCGATAGTTTACTGAGAATGATGATTTCCAATTTCATCCATGTCCCTACAAAGGATATGAACTCATCATTTTTTATGGCTGCATAGTATTCCATGGTGTATATGTGCCACATTTTCTTAATCCAGTCTATCATTGTTGGACATTTGGGTTGGTTCCAAGTCTTTGCTATTGTGAATAATGCCACAATAAACATACGTGTGCATGTGTCTTTAAAGCAGCATGATTTACAGTCCTTTGGGTATATACCCAGTAATGGGATGGCTGGGTCAAATGGTATTTCTAGTTCTAGATCTCTGAGGAATCACCACACTGACTTCCATACTCATCTGACAAAGGGCTAATATCCAGAATCTACAAAGAACTCAAACAAATTTACAAGAAAAAAACAAACAACCCCATCAAAAAGTGGGCAAAGGACATGAACAGACACTTCTCAAAAGAAGACATTTATGCAGCCAAAAAACACATGAAAAAATGCTCACCATCACTGGCCATCAGAGAAATGCAAATCACAACCACAATGAGATACCATCTCACACCTGTTAGAATGGCAATCATTAAAAAGTCAGGAAACAACAAGTGCTGGAGAGGATGTGGAGAAATAGGAACACTTTTACACTGTTGGTGGGACTGTAAACTAGTTCAACCATTGTGGAAGTCAGTGTGACTTTCTGTCTTGATGGCCTGTCTCGTGCTGTCAGTGGAGTAGTGAAGTCCCCCGCTATTATTGTGTTGCCATCTATTTCATTTCTCAAGTCTAATAGTAATTGTTTTATAAATTTGTGGGCTCCAGTATTAGGTGCATATATATTTAGGATTGTGATATTTTCCTGTTTAACTGTCCTTTTATCATTATATAATGTCCCTCTTTGTCTTTTTAAACTGTTGTTGCTTTAAAGTCTGTTTTTTTTTCTAAGAATAGCTAACCCTGCATATTTTTAGTGTCCATTTGCATTGAATACCTTTTTTCACTCCTGTACCTTAAGTTTATGTCAGTCCTTTTATGTTAGGTGCGTTGAAGACAGCAGATACTTGGTTGGTAAACTTTTATTCATTCTGCCATTCTGTATCTTTTAAGTGGAGGATTTAGGCCGTTTACATTCAACATTAATATTGAGATGTGAGGTATCATTCTATTCATCATGCTAGTTGTTGCATCAATGCCTTTTTTACATTGTGTTTTTGTTTTATAACCCCTGTGAGATTTATGCTTTAAGGAAGTTCTATTTTGCTGTATTTTGAGGTTTTGTTTCAAGATATTGAACTCCTTTTAACATTTCTTGTAGCTCTGCCTTGGTAATGGTAAATTATCTCAGCATTTTTTTGTCTAAAAAATATTTTATCTTTCCTTCATTTATGAAGTTTTCTTTCGCTGGATACAAAATTCTTGGCTGGTAATTATTTTCTTAAAGAGGCAAAATATAGGACCCAAATCCCTTCTAGTTTGCAGGGTTTCTGCTGACAAATCTGCTGTTAGTCTGATAGCTTTCCCTTCATAGGTTACCTGATGCTTTTGCCTCACAGCTCTTAAGATTTTCTCCTTTGTCTTGACTTTAGATACTCTGATGACTGTGTGCCTACCTGATGATTTTTTGCTATGAATTTCCTGGGTGTTCTTTGAGCTTCTGTATTTGGATGTCTATATCTCTAGCAAGGCCAGGGACATTTTCCTCGGTTTTTCCCCCAAATAAGTTTTCCAAACACTTAGATCTCTCTTCTTCCTCAGGAACACCAATTACTCTTAGGTTTCAGAATAACATAATCATTTAACATAATCACAAAACTTCTTGGAGCCTTTGTTCATTTTTTTGAATCTTTTTTCTTTGTCTTTGTCAGATTGGGTTAATTCAAAAGCCTTTTCTTTAAGCTCTGATGTTCTTTCTTCTACTTCTTCAATTATATTGTTGTAACTTTCCAGTTTCTTTTGCATTTGTCTAAGTGTGTTTCATTTCCAGAAGCTGTGGATGTTTTTTATTTATGCTGTATATTTCTCTGGAGATATTTTAATCCATATCCTATAATATTTTTAAAATTTCTTTAAATTATTTTTCATCTTTCTCTGATCCCTCCTTGAACAGCTTAATAATTGACTTTCTAAATTCTTTTCTGGGCAATTCACAGGATTCTTCTTGGTTTAGATCCATTGCTTGTGACCTAATGTGGTCTTTGGGGGATGTCAAAGAACCTTGCTTTATAATATTATCAGAATTGTTTTTCTTGTTCCTTCTCATTTGGGTAGACTATGTCAGAGGAACGTTCTGTGGCTCAAGGGCTGCTGTTCAGATTCTTTTCTTCCACTGGGTGATCCCTTGATGTGGTGTTCTCCCCATTTTTCTAAGGATGGGGTTTCCTGGGAGCCAGACTGCAGTGATTGTTATTTACTCTTCTGGGTCTAGCCACCCAGCAGAGCTACCGGACTCTGTGCTGGTACTGGGGAGTGTCTGCAAAGAGTCCTGTGATTTGATCCATCTTCAGTTCTCTCAGTCATGGATACCAGCACCTGCTCCAGTGGAGGTAGCAGGGGAGTTGAAGTGGATTCTGTGAGGATCCTTGACTGTAGATTTTTTTATGGCCCTGGTTTTCTCAAATGCTGTTTGTGCTAACAGTGAAGCTATCACGTGGACAAACTCAGGACCTCTGGTTAGCCAGGATGTCCCAGGCAGTGGAATTAGCTGTTGTTTTCTCCTTTCTTGGAGCAGGGTTGTTCTTTTTTTCTTTTTTCTTTTCCTTTTTTTTTTGAGATGGAGATGGAGTCTTGCTCTGTTGCCCAGGCTGGAGTGCAGTGGCACGATCTCGGCTCAATGCAAGCTCCGCCTTCCGGGTTCATGCCATTCTCTCGCCTTAGCCTCCTGAGTAGCTGGGACTACAGGCGCCCACCACCATGCCCAGCTAATTTTTTGTATTTTTAGTAGAGACAGGGTTTCACCGTGTTAGCCAGGATGGTCTCGATCTCCTGACCTCGTGATCTGCCTGCCCCGGCCTCCCGAAGTGCTGGGATTACAGGCGTGAGCCACCGTGCCCAACCACGTTCTTTTATGTGTTGTTGTAATGGCTTGAGTTGGTTGGCCTCCAGCCAGGAGGTGGGGCTTTCAAGAGAGCATCAGCTGTGGTAGTATAGCGGGGATTCAATCTTTCCCTAGGGTCACCTGGATAAGTATTCTGGTTTCTCAGGCAATGGGCAGGGACATAGAACTCCCAAGAGATTTCATCTTCAGCTACCAGGGCATGTAGAGAAAGGCCATCAGGGCAGGTTAGGCATGTCTGAGCTCAGACTCTCCTTGTGTGGGGCTTGCTATGGTTGCTGTGGGAAATAGGGGTGTTGTTCTCAGGTTAATGGAGTTATGTTCCCAGGAGGATTATGGCTGCCTCTGCTACATCATATAGGTCACCAGGGAAGTGGAGAAAAGCCAGCAGTGACAGGCCTCACCCAACTCCCATGCAGCCAGCAAGGCCAGTCACACTCTCCCCGTACCCACCAACAGCACCTAGTTTATATCCAGGAAGCCGGTTTGCAGGGCTGACATCTTGCCTTGCTACAAGCATCCCCATGGAGAAAGCAAGCAGGGCTTTCAGGCCCTGCCCCTCCCTGCCTGCCACAGCTTCTGTGCTCGTATCTATACTTCCCATTCATCTCCCTGGATTCTGCCCAAGAAAATTCATGCTCAGTTGAAATTATTACAAAGCTCAGCTGTGAGTTTCCTTCTCTCTGTGGCTGTTCCCCAAGGAACCCTTGAAATAGAGAGCCCTAGTGAAAAGGAAATGGCTAGTCTGGGCTTCCCTGAAGACCGTGAGTGCCTACAGGGTTCTTCCCACTGCTTCCTCTACTTTTATATTTCTCTCGGCTCTCCAAATTTGTTTCCGCTCTAAGGAAGGTGAAATCCTTTTCCCACAATCAGAATTTTTAGATTCCCCAGTGGGGATGCATGTTCAGAAGTGGACTTTCCCCCTCTCAACACTTTGGGCACTCACAGGTTTTTGGCTGTCTCATGGAGTTTGCAGTGGCAAGATGCTTCTTTCAAAGGATCTGTGAATTCTTTCCGCTTTCCTGGTATGTTCCTGTGGTAGTTCTTTTTTTTTTTTTTTTTCCTGAGACAGAGTCTCGCTCTGTCGCCCAGGCTGGAGTACAGTGGCGTGATCTCCTCTCACTGCAAGCTCCGCCTCCTGGGTTCACGCCATTCTCCTGCCTTAGCCCCCCGAGTAGCTGGGATTACAGGCACCCGCCACTGCGCACGGCTAATTTTTTGTATTTTTAGTAGAGATGGGGTTTCACCATGTTAGCCAGGATGGTCTCGATCTCCTGATCTCGTGATCCACCCACCTCAGCCTCCCAAAGTGCTGGAATTACAGGCATGAGCCACCACACCCGGCCACCCTGTGGTAGTTCTTAGATCAAAAGTTCATGGTGTGAGTCTCCACATGTTGCTTTGTCCATCCAAGTGGGAGCGGCAAGTTAGTCCTGCCTCCTATATGCCGTATTTTTGTCTGGTTTTAATTCTGATGGTTAATTTTATGTGTGAACTTGACTGAGTCATACGGTGCCCAGATATTTGATTAAACATTCTTTCTAAGTGTCTTTGTGAGAGTTTTTCTGGGTGAGATTAGCATTTGAATCAGTAGACTGAGTAAAGCAGATTGTCTTCCCCAGTGGGGGTGGGCTTCAACCAAGCCTTTGAGGACCAAAACTGGCACAAGACAGGGATGCCCTCTCTCACCACTCCTATTCAACATAGTGTTGGAAGTTCTGGCCAGGGTAATCAGGCAGGAGAAGGAAATAAAGGGTATTCAATTAGGAAAAGAGGAAGTCAAATTGTCCGTGTTTGCAGATGACATGATTGTATATCTAGAAAACCCCATTGTTTCAGCCCAAAATCTCCTTAAGCTGATATGCAACCTCAGCAAAGTCTCAGGATACAAAATCAATGTGCAAAAATCACAAGCATTCTAATACACCAATAACAGACAGAGAGCCAAATCATGAGTGAACTCCCATTCACAGTTGCTTCAAAGAGAATAAAATACGTAGGAATCCAACTTACAAGGGATGTGAAGGACCTTTTCAAGGAGAACTACAAACTACTGCTCAATGAAATAAAAGAGGATACAAACAAATGAAGAACATTCCATGCTCATGGATAGAAAAAATCAATATTGGGCCGGGCGCGGTGGCTCACGCCTGTAATCCCAGCACTTTGGGAGGCCGAGGCGGGTGGATCATGAGGTCAGGAGATCGAGACCATCCTGGCTAACAAGGTGAAACCCCGTCTCTACTAAAAATACAAAAAATTAGCCGGGCACGGTGGCGGGCGCCTGTAGTCCCAGCTACTCGGGAGGCTGAGGCAGGAGAATGGCGTGAACCCAGGAGGCGGAGCTTGCAGTGAGCCGAGAGCCCGCCACTGCACTCCAGCCTGGGCGACAGAGCGAGACTCCGTCTCAAAAAAAAAAAAAAAAAAGAAAAAATCAATATTGAGAAAATGGCCATACTGCCCAAGGTAATTTATAGATTCAATGCCATCCCCATCAAGCTACCAATGACTTTCTTCACAGAATTGGAAAAAATACTTTAAAGTTCATATGGAACCAAAAAAGACCCTGCATTGCCAAGTCAATCCTAAGCCAAAAGAACAAAGCTGGAGGCATCATGCTACCTGACTTCAAACTCTACTACAAGGCTACAGTAACCAAAACAGCATGCTACTGTTTTGGTACCAAAACAGAGTTATAGACCAATGGAACAGAACAGAGCCCTCAGAAATAATGCCACACATCTACAACTATCTGATCTTTGACAAACCTGAAAAAAAGAAGAAATGGGGAAAGCATTCCCTATTTAACAAACGGTGTTGGGAAAACTGGCTAGCCATATGTAGAAAGCTGAAACTGGATCCCTTCCTTACAACTTATACAAAAATTAATTCAAGATGGATTAAAGACTTAAAGGTTAGACCTAAAACCATAAAAACCCTACAAGAAAACCTAGGCAATAACATTCAGGACATAGGCATGGTCAAAGACCTCATGTCTAAAACACCAAAAGCAATGGCACAAAAGCCAAAATTGACAAATGGGATCTAATTAAACTAAAGAGCTTCTGCACAGCAAAAGAAACTATCGTCAGAGTGAACAGGCAACTTACAGAATGGGAGAAAATCTTTGCAATCTACCCATCTGACAAAGGGCTAATATCCAGAATCTACAAAGAACTCAAACCAATTTACAAGGAAAAAACAAACAACCCCATCAAAAAGTGGGCGAAGGATATGAATAGACACTTCTCAAAAGAAGACATTTATGCAGCCAAGACACACATGAAAAAATGCTCATCATCACTGGCCATCAGAGAAATGCAAATCAAAACCACAATGAGATACCATCTCACACCAGTTAGAATGGCAATCATTAAAAAGTCAGGAAACAACAGGTGCTGGAGAGGATGTGGAGAAATAGGAACACTTTTACACTGTTGGTGGGACTGTAAACTAGTTCAACCATTGTGAAAGTCAGTGTGGCAATTCCTCAGGGATCTAGAACTAGAAATGCCATTTGACCCAGCCATCCCATTACTGGGTATATACCCAAGGGATTATAAAACATGTTGCTATAAAGACACATGCACACGTATGTTTATTGCGGCACTATTCACAATAGCAAAGACTTGGAACTAACCCAAATGTCCAACAATGATAGACTGGATTAAGAAAATGTGGCACATATACACCATGGAATACTATGCAGCCATAAAAAAGGATGAGTTCATGTCCTTTGTAGGGACATGGATGAAGCTTGAAGCCATCATTCTCAGCAAACTATCACAAGGACAAGAAACCAAACACCGCATGTTCTCACTCATAGGTGGGAATTGAATAGTGAGAACACTTGGACACAGGAAGGGGAACATCACACACCAGGGCCTGTCGTGGGGTGGGGGGAGGGGGGAGGGATAGCATTAGGAGATATACCTAATGTAAATGGCGAGTTAATGGGTGCAGCACACCAACATGGCACATGTATACATATGTAGCAAACCTGCACGTTATGCACATGTACCGTACAACTTAAAGTATAATAAAAAAAGAAAAAAGCAACACTGTATATATATATATATATATATATATATATATATATATATATATATATACACACACACACACACACACACACAAATTTATGTAGAATGGTATTTATTAAAATACCATGTGTACTACTGCAGACTGGAAATGGTAATGTTTAAATAAATTACTGTATATCCGTTATAAAAAAAAATTCAGAGGAAGGGAGAATTTGTTCTCTCTGCCTGACTGCATGAGATAAAACATCAGTCTGTCAGACTGGGACTTACGTGATCAGGGTTCCTGGTTCTCAGAACTTTAGACTCAAACTGGAACTTACACTATTGGCTCTCAGGTTCTCAGGAGGCCTTTGGACTTGGAGTAGAAATTATACCATTGTTTCTCCTAGTGCTTATACTTTGGGCTCAAAGTAGGACTACACCATCACCTTTCCTGGGTCTCCATCTCACTGATGGCAGACAGTGGGACTTCTCAGCCTCCATAATTATGTGAGCTAATTCCTCAATGTAAATAATGTAAATAATAATTTATATACATATACCTCATTGTTCTTTCTCTATAGAGAACCCTACTGATAGTTATTCCAAAGAAACAGAATTTTAGGAATGAGTTTTTCTGAATTGGTTCTGAAGTTTCTGGAATTGGCTCTTCAATCTTAGTAGTTTTGATGATGCTAATGACACTGTATCAAGTAATAAAAAGAGCACTGGTAATCTGTGGCATGATCTGACAATGGAAATATGCAAAGTATCTTCAATAGATGCTCTTAGTCAACCATTTATGAGAAGCAAGTAGCTGGGTGACTATATATGATAATATTTAACATTTTTGAAAAACAATGAATAAAATGAGGTTGGCTTGTAGCTTCTAACATGACTGAACAAAGTGCTAAAAGAAACAGATGAGTTCAGGAATTCCCAGCCAAAGTGGTAGATAAATGACCTGAAAGCTTCTATGTATCTCCTAAAGGAGATGCTTATTGCATGTAGCCACAGGACTGAGATTTCTGAAAACCACAGAATTCCATCTGTAAATAGCCGAATTACAATGATAGTTGAACTCCCAGTCTTGTAGGGTATCTACTGTTAAAATGAGGGCACTGATTTGTAAAGAATTGGATCCTGTAAGTTAGGATGGGGATGTGTGGGAAGACCCTTATGAAGCCAGGGATACTGAGTGCCTAAATTCCAATGCATCTTATTTGCCAGGAGACGAGGCCTCCCTGCAACCAGTAGAAGCAGCTTCCAACTGCCCATGGTATTGGCCTCTCCAATCCTGTCTGAAGGGATCAACGCTGCGTTGCTTGAGGAAACTCAGGCCACTATACAAGACAATGTTGATTCTCCTCTGGACCCATCCCTCTTTGCTTCTAAGGCCTATAATAAGAATCAAGTCCTAACAGATCCCTAAAGGTAAGGTACAAAGTGTGACCAATGAAGACACGTACTACACTCCAAAAGAACTACTCAAATTTTCTAATTTATACAGATAGAAATCTAGGGAACATAGGTGGAAACAAATACTAATGTTGGAAAAAACATAAAGTTGAATCTGGCCAAATTTATTGATAGGGGCCTACTATGCAGAGATTCTGATTTTAATGTTGCAGCTCAGGGAGTTAGAAAGCATTCTAACAATTTGGTTGGTTGGTTTGCTAAAACACGATGAAAAGGTGGCTCACAGTGAGTGAGATGGAAATGCTGGACCTGCCTTGGTTTAATGTTGAGGGGAGGATTCAAAGGCTTAAGGAGAATGGAAGGTAGAACTTAGAATAGTTCTTCTCACTCACACTGGGAAGGTATAGAAAATGTACCTTTCACTAACACTGTGAGAAATACATTTGTAAAGAGAGCCCTGGTACAAGGAAATTTGGAAAAGAAGTGTGTGGAAAGACTTCTCTGAATGGAAAAAAAGTGTGAAGATATTTGTATCTTGTGTGAACACTCACTCATGGTTGATCACATGTTTTACTCCATTTGGGGCTGCTCTAACAAAGTACCATAGACTGGGTAGCTTCTAAACAACAAATTTATTCGCATGGTTCTCGAGGCTTGGAGTTCCAAGATCAAGGTACCAACAGCTTTAGTGCTGGTGAGGGCCTCTTTTATAGATAGTGCTTTCTTGCTGTGCCCTCTCATGGTGAAAGGGGCAAAGCAGCTCTCTGGAGCCTTATTATAAGGGCACTAATCACATTCATGAGGGTTCTACACTTATGACTTAACCATGTCCCCAAAGACCTCACGTCCTAATATCCCCTTGGGGACAGGATTTCAATATATAAATTTTAGGGGCACACAAACATTTGAAAAATAGCACTACAGCAGAGAAGGATTTTAATAATCAAACAGACAGAATGACCTGTTCAATGATTACCAGTCAGCCTCTTTCCCTACCCACCCCAGTTACTGCCCAATGGGCTCATGAACAAAGTGGCCATGGTGGCAGGGATGGAGGTTACATGGCTCAGCAATATTGACTTTCACTCACCAAGGCTGACCTGGCTACTGCCACTGCTGACTACCCAATCTGCCAGCAGCAGAGACCAACACTGAGCACCTGATATAGCACCATTCTCTGGGGTGATGAGCCATCAACCTGGTATCAGGTTGATTACATTGGAGTGCTTCTATCATAGCAGCGGCAGCGTTTTGTCCTTACTGGAATAGACACTTTGGATACAGATTTGTCTTCCCTGCATGCTGCACTTCTGCCAAAAGTGCCATCGATGGACTTACAAAATGCCTTATCCACCATCATGATATTCCACACAGCATTACATCTGATCAAGGAACTTCCTTCACAGCAAGAGAAGTGCTGCAGTAGGCCCATGCTTGTGGAATTTACTGGTGTTATCACGTTCCCCATCATCCTGAAGCAGCTAGCTTGACAGAGTGATGACATGGTCTTTTGAAGTGTCAGTTACAGTGCCAATACCTTGCAGGGCTGGGGCAAGATTTTCCCAAAAGCTGTATATGCTCTGAATCAGTGTCCAATAGATGATGCTGATTCTCTGATAGTTAGGATTCACAGGTCCAGAAATCAAGGGGTGGAAATGGGAGTGGTACCACTCACCATTACCCTAAGTGACCCACTAACAAAATGTTTTCTTCCTGTTCCTGCAATCTTGTGCTTTGCTAGTCTAGAGGTGTTAGTCCCAGAGGGAGGACTTCCACCAGGGGACACAACAATGATTCCATTGAACTGGAAGTTAAGACTGCCACCCAGCCACTTTGGAATCCTCGTATCTCTGAATCAACAGGACAAGAGGCAGGTGCAATGTTGGCTGGGATAACTGATCCAGATTATGAAGTGTAAATTAGACTTAATAGTCCAATTTTGTTAGTGGGTAACTAAAGGTAATGGTGAGTGGTGCCACTTCCATTTCTACTCCTTGAGTCCTGGGTGGAAATCAAGGGGTGGAAATGGTAGTGTAAACTGGTATAATAGACTTTTAGACTATTAAGTGTAAATTGGACTATTACTACTCTGCAATGGAGGAAAGAAAGACTATGTCAAGAATACAGGAGGTGCCTTAGGGCATCTCTTAGTATTACCATGCCCCGTGATTAGGTCAATGGAAAACCACAACAATCCAATTCAGGCAGGACTACTAATGACCCAGACTCTTCAGAACTGGAGATTTGGGTCACCACGTCAGGTAAAAAACCAGTACCAGCTGAGGTGCTTGCTAAAGGCAAAGGGAGTACAGAATGGATGGTGGGAGAAAGTAGCTATAAATACCAGCTATGACCATGTGACCAGTTACAGAAACAAGATCTGTTATTGTTATGGGTGTTTCCTTCTTATGTTGTTATGAATACAGTTGTGTGTGTGTATTTCAAATATCTTTGTCTTCTTCCTTCTCTTATCCCCTTATCATGTAACATAAGGTGCATTGACTTTACATCGTAACATTTAAGTGTTGTTATTTTATATCATAGTATTTAGTTTTTAATTAACAAAATAGCAAGGAGAAAAGTAAACTCACTCAAGAATACCTATTCTTCTGTGGAAGGGGTTAGTGCGTTTTCAGTTGAATGCATGATATTTGTATCATGTTAGGTAAAATTGTAACCTTGTTATTGTCTTTAAGTGGAGAGTATGGCTTAAGGAGATGTGTATGGGTGCCAAGTTGACAAGGGCTGGACTTGTGATAGTTAATTTTGTGTGTCAACTTTACTGGGTCATAGGGTACCTAGATATTTGGTTAAGTATTATTTCTAGGTGTCTCTGTGAAGGTGCTTCTGGGTGAGATTAGCATTCGAATCTAGACTGTGTAAAGCAGACTGTCCTCCCCAATGCAGGTGGGCCTCATCCAATCCTTTGAGGACCTGAACAGAACAAAAATGTGGAGGATGAGAAAATTTGCTGTTGTTGCCTGACTGCATGAGCTGAGACATCAGTTTTCTGCCATTAGACTGGGGCTTACACCATCAGCACTACTGGTTCTCAAACCGTTTAACTCAGACTATAATTACATTACCAGCTTTCCTGATTCTCCAGCTTGCAGATGGCAGACCGTGGGACTTCTCAGGTTCCATAATCATTTGCTGATTCCTCATAATCTCTCTCTCTCTCTATACACACACACACACACACACACACACACACACACACACACACACACACACACAATTCTATTGGCTCTATTTATCTGGAGAACGCTGACTAACACACATGGCTAAATCCTTATCATTTAAGTCTTCAAATAGTATTTCCTCAGAGAAGCCTTTCCTATTACTGCCTATCCTGGGAATTGCAAATACCTCAAGGTCCCAGAGAATAGTCAGTAGCAAAGGTACCGTGGTAAGTACCATTACCCAGATTCAACAATTATCAACATTGTGTCATTTTTGTTTCACCTATCTCTTCCACTGGCTTTTTACTTGATCATTTTAAACAAATCCCAAACACTGTGTCACTTCAAACCATAAATATTTCCATATGCATGAAGACTTTTAAAAATCATAACCACTATATTATTGCTCTAACAAAATTAACAGCAAGTCCTTAATATCATATAATACCAAGAACATAGTAAAATTTCCCCCATTGCCATATATCTTAAAAAATATTTGCTGAATAAATGATGAACAAATGAATATGTGTCTGACAGTAAACTTTCTAAAGCCTTGAAATACGAAACATAATCATCCTTATTAGAAACATTAGGATGACATATCAGAAGAACCATGGTTTTCAAACTTTTTAACATATTCCCCATACCTCTGTATGTTTTCAAAATTTAAAAGGTGGAGAATTAGTTCAGCAAGTACTGTTTTAGTCATGCAGATGAAACCTAAGAGTAAAATTCTGTATTGGATATTTACTCAAGGAAAAAGAAGATATGTCTTTGCACAGATACTTATACAGTAATATTCATAGCAAATTGACTCATAATAACTAAACACTAGAAACAACCCAAGTATGTATCAACTAGTGAATGGATAAACTTTGATATATTCATACAATATAATGCTACACAGCAATAAAAAAATACACAAAAAAGATGGATGAATCTTACAAACATTATGTTGAATAAAAGAAGCCAGACGCAAGAGTATGTACTCTGTGATTCCAATTATATAAAATTTGAGAGCAGACAAAACTAATTTATAGTGAAAAGCTATCAGAATAGCGGTTTCTGTGGGAAGTGGGGTGGGGTCGGATTGACTGGAAATGAGGCATGACAGAACTTTCTGAGGTGATGGCAATTTTATTGGGGGTTTAGTTACACAGATGTGTACACTTTTCAAAATACATGGAATGGTACCCTTAAGATTATGCATGTTTTTGTATGTAAATTTTAACAAAACAGAATAAAATATTTAGGTAGATGTCTTACTGATGTCAGCTATTTACTTTGAAATGCATCAGAAACATAAGATGGCTTGACGAAAGATAAATAGAGGTATGCATATGTGGATAGATATGTGATATAGCAACACAGAAAAATGTTAGCAGAAGAATCCAGTTTGGGGTATACAGTTTGTTTACTATACAATTCTTCCAGCTTTGATATGTGTTTAAAATTTTTTAGAAATAAAATGTGGAGAAAAATCTCCATAGTGGTTTTCAGAAGATGGGAGGAAAAAAAAGGGCTAGTTTGAGAACATATATGACTTAGCCTTTCTGAGATACTTGCTGAGCTGCCTCTCTAGCTGCCTTTGGATGAACTGACCTCCACTTCCAGTTCTTGTGTAAACCGGTAGCTTTTTGGCCATATCAACAAGCATCTGCTTCTGGACCTCAGGTCTTTCTTCATTTTCATAGCGCTCCTTGTCTGTGTAGGACAAGTGGAACTGGAAGCAGGAGTGAAAGGTAAGACTTTATTATCTAAAGTTAATAGAAAAGATTAAAACCAACAACAATAACTACTTTAATGAAATTATTTGTTACCTACCCTTGAAGCTCAGGTACCACTTAGTCTTATAATGTTCTCTGGATAATTACTTCAATAATCTGGCTTTTATCTCAATTATCAAAAGCATGAGATATGTGTATTTTTTAATAAAGAAAATAAAACAGAGAGATTCAGTAACTTGCCTAAAGTTGGACTCAATCAACTAACAAGTGGCAATGCTGGACCTCAAACTCAATTCATCTGATTTCAAGACTTGTCCCTTTCCATTGATTCATAATATGATGTTGCATACAGATGTGTAACACATTTTTGCCAGGGCCCTGTTGATAATTAACCATGCTTACCAAGTTGCAAGAGTTTTCACAGGTAACACTGATAACACCCTTGGAGAAGCTGGATGAGACTGCTTGTAACATTGTCTGCATATTCTAATCTTGTAAATAAGGGGAAATTTAGATATTCTCACTATTGAATACTTTTTTAGTCTCGTATGGAGCTTGTTGCCACAATAGTGCCACATTTTGCTAATCTTGCAAAAGATATGCCATTGATCTTCAAAAGTAATATGAACCTGAAAGCATTTATTCTATCTGTGCCGAAGGGTAGACTGAGTTGAAAAAAAGGATCTGTGGTCAGAATTTCTAGGTTTAAGTCTCATCTCTATTACTTAATAGAAAATCACTTTGCAAAATCAGACATTCTCAACCTGTTTCTTCACATGTAAAATAGAAGAAATAATACCTACTTCATAATATTGGTGCAGAAGTGCCAGATAATAACAGGTAAATAAAAATCTCCTTTAGAAGTCTAATTTTTGAATTGTTTAAAAATATTTGATGTTGCTGCTAAGAGATTTTGTCACCACCAGGCCTGCCCTAAAAGAGCTCCTGAAGGAACCACTAAACATGGAAAGAAACAACTGGTACCAGCCACTGCAAAAACATGCCAAATTGTAAAGACCATCGATGCTAGGAAGAAACTGCATCAATTAATGGGCAAAATAACCAGCTAACATCATAATGACAGGATCAAATTCACACATAACAATATTAACCTTGAAAGTTAACGGGCTAAATGCCCTAATTAAAAACACAGACTGGCAAATTGGATGAAGAGTCAAGACCCATCAGAGTGCTGTATTCAGGAGACCCATCTCACGTGCAGAGACACACATAGGCTCAAAATAAAGGGATGGAGGAAGATCTACCAAGCAAATAGAAAGCGAAAAAAAAAAAAAAAAGCAGGGGTTGCAATCCTAGTCTCTGAAAAAATAGACTTTAAACCAACAAAGATCAAAAGAGACAAAGAAGGCCATTACATAATGGTAAAGGGATCAATTCAACAAGAAGAGCTAACTAATCTAAATATATATGCAACCAATACAGGAGCACCCAGATTCATAAAACAAGTCCTAACAGACCTAAAAAGAGACTTAGACTCCACACAATAATAATGGGAGATTTTAACACCCCACTGTCAATATTAGACAGATCAATGAGACAGAAGGTTAACAAGGATATACAGGACTTGAACTCAGCTCTGCACCAAGCAGACCTAATAGACATCCACAGAACTCTCCACCCCAAATCCACAGAATATACATTCTTCTCAGCACCACATCGCACTTATTCCAAAATTGACCACATAGTTGGAAGTAAAGCACTCCTCAAATGTAAAAGAACAGAAATCATAACAAACTGTCTCTCTGACCACAGTTCAATCAAATTAGAACTCAGGATTAAGAAACTCAGTCAAAACCGCACAACTACATGGAAACTGAACAACCTGCTCCTGAATGACTACTGGATAATGAAATGGAGGCAGAAATAAAGATGTTCTTTGAAACCAATGAGAACAAAGACACAACATACTAGAATCTCTGGGACACATTTAAAGCAGTGTGTAGATGGAAATTTATAGCACTTAAATGCCCACAAGAGAAAGCAGGAAAGATCTAAAATCAACACCCTCATATTGCAATTAAAAGAACTAGAGAAACAAGAGCAAACAAATTCAAAAGCTAGCGGAAGTCAAGAAATAACTAAGATCAGAGCAGAACTGAAGGAGATAGAGACACAAAAAACCCTTCAAAAAATCAATGAATCCAGGAGCTGGTTTTTTTGAAAAGATCAACAAAAGTGATAGACTGCTAGACTGCTAGCAAGACTAATAAAGAAAAGAGACAAGAATCAAATAGACACAATAAAAAATGATAAAGGGGATATCACCACCGATCCCACAGAAATACAAACTACCATCAGAGAATACTATAAACACCTCTACACAAATAAACTAGAAAATCTAGAAGAAATGAATAAATTCCTGGACACATATACCCTCCCAAGACTAAACCAGGAAGAAGCTGAATCTCTGAATAGACCAATAACAGGAGCTGAAATTGAGACAATAATTAATAGCCTACCAAACAAAAAAAGTCCAGGACCAGATGGATTCACAGCCAAGTTCTACCAGAGGTACAAAGAGGAGCTGGTACCAATCCTGAAACTATTTCAATTGATAGAAAAAGAGGGAATCCTCCCTAACTCATTTTATGAGGCCAGCATCATCCTAACACCAAAGGCTGGCAGTGACACAACAAAAAAAAGAGACTTTTAGACCAATATCCCAGATGAATATCGATGTGAAAATCCTCAATAAAATACTGACAAACCGAATCCAGCAGCACATCAAAAAGCTATCCACCAAGATCAAATTGGCTTCATTCCTGGGATGCAAGGCCTAGTTCAACATATGAAAATCAATAAACGTAATCCATCAAATAAACAGAACCAAAGACAAAAACCACATGATTATCTCAATAGATGCAGCAAAGGCCTTTGACAAAATTCCACAGCCATTCATGCTAAAAACTCTCAATAAATTAGGTATTGATGGAACGTGTCTCAAAATAATAAGAGCTATTTATGACAAACCCACAGCCAGTATCATACTGAATGGGCAAAAACTGGAAGCACTCCCTTTGAAAACTGGCACAAGACAGGGATGCCCTCTCTCACCACTCCTATTCAACATCATATTGGAAGTTCTGGCCAGGGAAATCAGGCAAGAGAACGAAATAAAGAGTATTCAAATAGGAAAAGAGGAAGTCAAATTGTCCCTGTTTGCAGATGACATGATTGTATATTTAGAAAACCCCATCGTCTCAGCCCAAAATCTCCTTAAGCTGATAAGCAACTTCAGCAAAGTCTCAGGATACAAAATCAATGTGCAAAATCACAAGCATTCTTATACACCAATAACAGACAAACAGCCAAATCATGAGTGAACTCCCATTCACAATTGCTACAAAGAGAATAAAATACCTAGGAATCTTAATCCAGTCTATCAATGATGGACATTAGGGTTGGTTCCAAGTCTTTGCTATTGTGAATGGTGCTGCAATAAACATACATTTGCATGTGTCTTTATAGCAGCATGATTTATAATCCTTTGGGTATATGCCAAGTAATGGGATGGCTAGGTCAAATGGTATTTCTATTTCTAGATCCTTGAGGAATTGCCACACTGTCTTCCACAATGGTTGAACTAGTTTACAGTCCCACCAACAGTGTAAAAGCATTCCTATTTCTCCACATCCTCTCCAGCACCTGTTGTTTCCTGACTTTTTAATGATTGCCATTCTAACTGGTGTGAGATGGTATCTCATTGTGGTTTTGATTTGGGACAAGTTAACGGGTGGAGCACACCAACATGGCACATGTTTACATATGTAACAAACCTGCACATTGTGCACATGTACCCTAGAACTTAAAGTATAATAATAAAAAATAAAAATGAAAAAATACCTAGGAATCCAACTTACAAGGGATGTGAAGGACCTCTTTAAGGAGAACTACAAACCACTGCTCAATTAAATAAAAGAGGACACAAACAAATGGAAGAACATTCCATGCTCATGGATAGGAAGAATCAATATCCTGAAAATGGCCATACTGCCCAAGGTAATTTATAGATTCAATGTCATCCCCATCAAGCTACCAATGACTTTCTTCACAAAATTGGAAAAAACTACTTTAAAGTTCATATGGAATCAAAAAAGAGCCCGAATTGCCAAGACAATCCTAAGCCAAAAGAACAAAGCTGGAGGCATCATGCTACCTGACTTCAAACTATACTACAAGGCTACAGCAACCAAAACTGCATGGTACTGGTACCAAAACAGAGATATAGCCCAATGGAACAGAACAGAGGCCTCAGAAATAACACCACACATGTATAACCATCTGATCTTTGACAAACCTGACAAAAACAAGAAATGGGGAAAGGATTCCCTATTTAATAAATGGTGCTGGGAAAACTAGCTAGCCATATGTAGAAAGCTGAAACTGGATCCCTTCCTTACACCTTGTACAAAAATTAATTCAAGATGGATTAAAGACTTAAATGTTAGACCTAAAACCATAAAAACCCTAGAAGAAAACCTAGGCAATACCATCCAGGACGTAGGCATGGGCAAGGACTTCGTGACTAAAACACCAAAAGCAATGGAAACAAAAGCCAAAATAGACAAATGGGATGTAATTAAACTAAAGAGCTTCTGCAGACAAAAGAAACTACCATCAGAGTGAACAGGCAACCTACAGAATGGGAGAAAATTTTTGCAATCTACTTATCTGACAATGGGCTAATATCCAGAATCTACAAAGAACTCAAATTTACAAGAAAAAATCAAACAATTTCATAAAAAAGTGGGCAAAGGATATGAACAGACACTTTTCAAAAGAAGACATTTATGCAGCCAAAGACACATGAAAAAATGCTCATCATCACTGGTCATCAGAGAAATGGAAATCAAAACCACAATGAGATACCATCTCATGCCAGTTAGAATGGCGATCATAGAAACAACAGTTGCTGGAGAGGATGTGGAGAAATATGAATGCTTTTACACCATTGGTGGGAGTGTAAACTAGTTCAACCATTTTGGAAGACAGTGTAGCGATTCCTCAAGGATCTAGAATTAGAAATAGCATTTGACCCAGCCATCCCATTACTGGGTATATACCCAAAGGTTTATAAATCATGCTACTAGAAAGACACACACACATGTATGTTTATTGTGGCACTATTCACAATAGCAAAGACTTGGAACCAACCCAAATGTCCATCAATGATAGACTGGATTAAGAAAATGTGGCACATATACACCATGGAATACTATGCAGCCATAAAAAAGGATGAGTTCATGTCCTTTGTAGCAACATCGATGAAGCTGGAAACCATCATTCTGAGCAAACTATCACAAGGACAGCAAACCAAACACCACATGTTCTCACTCACAGGTGAGAATTGAACAATGAGAACACTTGGACACAGGGCGGGGTACATCATATACCAGGGCCTGTCATGGGGTGGGGGGCTGGGGGAGGGATAGCATTAGGAGAAATACCTAATGTAAGTGTCAAGTTGATGGGCACAGCACACCAACATGGCACATATATACATATGTAACAAACCTGCACGTTGTGAAAATGTACCCTAGAACTTAAAGTATAATAATCAAAAACAAAAAAGAATGGCAATAATTAAAAAGTCTGGAAACAACAGATGCTGTCAAGGATGTGGAGAAAGAGGAATGTTTTTATACTGTTGGTGGGAGTGTAAATTAGTCCAACCACTGTGGAAGACAGTGCGGGGATTCCTCAAGGATCTAGAATCAGAAATATCATTTGACCCAGCAATCCCGTTACTGGGTATAAAGAGACTGTTTTTAGAGACAACTACTGGCAGAATCCTCTGAGCAACGCTGCTCTATGACAACGTTTCCTCTCTGAGAGCAGTTGGGTCCAGCACTTACCAAACATAACAGCAACGGGTGTCTCCCCTGTCAAGGCCACATACTGTAAATTTAGACAGATCCAGGTTCAAGTCCCAACCACTTAAGTGCCATTTAAATTCTGTGACTTGGAGCTTCTTGCTTAATTTCTCCAAGCTTTAATTTCCTCATCCAAGAAATAGAGATAATAATATCATCCCCATAATTACTGTTAAATGTAAAGCATTTAGCTGTGGTGTTTGGCACAGTGTAAGTACTCAACAAATGTTAGCTAAAATAATAAACATGTATAACATTAAAAAACTGATATTTAGAAAAAATCTAAAAAATATTTGATATTGCCAATGTTTTTAATTTTAACTCTTCTAGTTGGTGTGTTGCATTAGTCTATTCTTGCAAACCATATCATTTGTAGTGGCATCTTATTGTGATTTTATTTTGTACTCCTTTCATTACTAATGATATTGAGCACCTTTTCATGAGTTTATTGGCCATTTGGATATCCTCTTGTGAAATAGCTTTTCAAGTCTTTGGTCCATTAAAAAAAGAATTGGGTTGTTTGTCTTTCTTTGGTATTAATTTGTAGAAATTCTTTATATATTTTGGATACTAGTCTTTGGTTGAATATTTTCTACCAGTCTGTGGCTTTCCCTTTTACTTCCTTTATGGTGGATTTTGATGTACAGAAGATCATGGTGGGAGTGCAGATTTATATAATCAGTTTGGAAAATTTTGTCATTATCTATTTATGCTAAATATATGCCTGTCTTATGACCCCAGCAATTTTATTCCTACTTATATACACAAGAAAAATGAGTATCTGGGTGTATATGTGTGAGCATGTATTAAAGTTTTATTTACACTCACACACACACACACACACACACACACACACACACAGAGTCTCTGATACACAGAGTCAGCCTTCCCTATGTATGGTTCCACATTCATGCATTCAACCAACTGGATTAAAAAATATTTTTAAAATTAACAATACAAGAAAAATAATACAAATAACAAACAATACAAAAACTATTTACATAGCATTTATAGTGTATTAGTATTGTAAATAATCTAGAGATGATTTAAAATATGTAGGAGGGTGTGAATGGGTTATATGCAAATACCATGCCATTTCATGTAAGGAACCTGAGCATCTGTGATTTTGGTATCTATGGGAGGTCCTGAAATCAATCCCCTGTGGGTACTGAGGAACAACTATATTTATATGCCAAAAGACATGTACAAGAATGTTCATTGGAGCTTTATTCATAACACACAAAACAATGGAAACAAGTATACTTCAATGGCTGAATGGTTAAACCAAGTGTGATAAAAGGGAATAACTAACAGCAATCAAAGGAAATTAACTACTGAAAAATGCATCAACATGGATAAATTTGAAAAACACTGTGTTGAGTGAAAGGTACACATAGAATAGTACCAACTAGGATTCCTTTTTTATGGACTTCAAAAACAGGCAAAACCAATCTATGGTGATAGAAGTTAGCGTAGTAGTTACCTCTAAGAGGAGGTTGATTGAAAAGAGGCATGAAGATTTATGAGATACTAGAATGTTTAAAATTTTAACCTGGATACTGATTACTTAGGTATAATATATGGGGAAACATTCATCAAATTATTCTCTTTAAAACTTAATTCTGGGAGTAGAGTCTGTATGTTATACTTCAATAAAATTAGCAGAACAAATAATAAAATATTTGAGATAATTTAAATATATCTAACTTAAAAAATTGAAAACATATAAAATCAAACACTGTGTTTTAAGAACCACACCTAGTGGTGCGTTTTTATGGTACTGTCATTCTCAGGTAGAGTGAGAATTAAGTACCCTGCTTGGGGTATGTGGAACTATGTAGGGGCATTTTTGGCTATTACAATGAATGTGGTGTACCATAGGCAATTAATCCTTAGCCTAGGGTGCTAAAGATTCTCCAATGAACTGAACAAATTCATACTGTTTTTCCCAACCAAAGGTCAATAGGTGGTATGGGAGGGGCCTAGATGGCTGATTAGAAGCAGCAGTCCGTGGCACTCATGGAGAGGAATGAAAGTAGTGAGTGAGTTCAGCACCTTCAACTAAAATATACAGGTTCTCGCATTCGGACTGACTAGGCAAACAACTAGACCCATAGAGAATGAAGAAAAGCAGGGTGGGGAAATAGCCCTCCCAGGAGTGGCACAGAGACAAAAAAAAAAAAAAAAAAAACAACCCCCAGCCAAGGGAATTGGTGAATGATTGTGCCACCCTGCTCAGGAAATCACTCTTCTCCCACAGATCACTGCAACCCACCGATAAGGAGATCCTCTGGTGATCCCATGCCACCAGGGCCTTGGGTCCGATACACAAAGCTGTGTGGAGTCATGGCAGAGCAGCTGCTCAGCCACACACAGAGACCCAGGAGTTTTACATACTCCAGCCCCAGTAGCCCCAGCAAGGTGGGAGATCCATTTGTACATACACCTAAGAAGAGGGCTAAATCTAGGGAGTCAAGCAGTGTCATTCTGCAGGCTCCACTTCCATAGCACTGTACAAGCTAAGACCCACTGGCTTGTAATTCTAGCCAGCCAACTGCAACAGGCTGAAGTCTGCCTGAGATGAGATAAAGTTCCTGTGGGGAGGGGTGGCTGCCTTCTCTGTGATTCAGTCAGCTCAGCCATTCCAGCCTGCCAGCTTTGGAGAGTGCAAATGGCCCAGAGGAGGAAGGACCCCCCAACAGTGAAGCGTACCTACTTTGCCAGGTTGTGGCCAGGCTGCTTCTATAAGCAGGACCCCAATCCATTCCTCCTCACTGGGTGGAGCCTGTCTGTGGGGACTTCAGCCACTCCAGCCAGGGTAATACAGAGAGAGCTCTGATTTCTCCCTGGGACAGAGCTCCTGGGGGATGGGGCAGCCACCATATCTGCAGTTCAGCGAACTCAGCCATTTCAGCCTCCAGTTTTAGAGAGTGAAAATTGTCCCGATGAGGAAGGGTCAGTTTGGAAAATTTTGGACTTATCTATTTACGCTAAATATATACAACACAATGAAGGACAGCTGCTTTGGCAGATCATGGCCAGACTGCTGCTTTTTTGTTTGTTTGTTTTTTTGAGATGGAGTTTCACTCTTATTGCCCAGGCTGGAGTGCAATGGCACAATCTCAGTTCACTGCAACCTCTGCCTCCCAGGTTCAAGCGATTTTCCTGCCTCAGCCTCCCAAATAGCTGGGATTACAGGCATGGGCCACGATACCTGGCTAATTTTGTATTTTTAGTAGAGATGGGGTTTCTCCATGTTGGTCAGGCTGGTCTTGAACTCCCGACCTCAGGTGATCTGCCTGCCTTGGCCTCCTGAAGTGATGGGATTACAGGCGTGAGCCACCACGACTGGCCAGACTGCTTCTTTAAGTGGGACCCCAACCCATTTCTCCTCACTGGGCAGGACCTCCCTGTGGGGTCTTCAGCCACTCCACCTAGGCTTATAGGGACAGAGCTCTGAACTTTCCCTGGGATGGAGCTTCCAGGGGGAGGGGTGGCTGTTATCTCTGTGGTGCAGTTGATTCAGCCATTCCAGTCTGCTGGCTTTGCAGAGTCCAAATTTTCTGGACAAGGATGGGTTCCCTCCAGTAGAGCAAACCTGCTCTACCAAAAAGCAGCCAGACTGCTTCTTTAAGTGGGTCCCTGTTTCCACTCCTCCTGACTGGGTGAAACTTCCCAACAGGGGTCTCGAGATACCTCCTATAGGTGCATTTGGGCCAGAAACAGGTCATTACCCCCCTGGGATGGAGGTTCCAGAGGAAAGAGAAGGCTGCCATCTTTGTTGTTTCACAGCCTTCACTGGTGATACATCCAGGTATGAAAAAAAAAATGAGGCAAGTAGGGTCTGGAGTAGACCTGCAGCAAACCACAGCAGCCCTATAGGAGAGTGACCTGACTGTTAAAAGAAAAACAAACAGAAAACAACAACATCAACAGAAAAGACCCCACAAAAAACTTATTCAAAGGTCAGCAACCTCAAACATTGAAGATAGATAAGCCCACAAATATGAGAAATAATCAACACAAAAAGGCTGAAAACAAAACGCCAGAGTGTCTCTATTCCTTCAAATGAATGCAACACCTCTAGAGCAAGGGCACAGAACTGGGCTGAGGTTAAGATGCCTGAATTGACAGAAGTAGGCTTCAGAAGGTGGGTAATAACAAACTTCACTGAGCTAAAGGAGCATGTTGTAACCCAATGCAAAGAGGCTAAGAATCATGATAAAACAATACAGGAGCTGATAGCCAGAATAGCCACTTTAGGGAGGAATATAACCGACATGACGGAGCTAGAAAACACAATATGACAACTTTACTATGCAATCACAAGTATCAATAGCAGAATAAATAAAGCAGAGGAAGGAATCTCAGAGCTTGAAGACTATCTTTCTGAAATAAGACAGACAAGAATAGAGAATAAGGAATAAAATGGAATGAATAAAATCTGAGAAATATGGAATTATATAAAGAGAGCAAACCTACAACTGATTGGGGTACCTGAAAGAGATGGCGTGAATTGAACCAAGCTGGAAAATATATTTCAGGATATCATCCAGGAGAACTTCTCCAGCCTAGCAAGACAGGCCAACATTCAAATTCAGGAAATGCAGAGAACCCCAGTAAGATACTCCATGAGAAAATCAATTCCAAGACACATAATCATCAGATTCTCCAAGGTTGAAATAAAGAAAATATTCAGGGCAGCCAGAGCAAAAGGCCACATTACCTACAAAGGAAAGTAGATCAGACTAACAGCAGATCTCCCAGTGGAAACCCTAAAAGCCAGAAGAGATTGGGGCCAATATTCAACATTTTTAAAGAAAATAATTTTCAGCCCAGTATTTGACACCTACCAAACTAAGCTTCCTAACTGAAGGAGAAATAAGATCCTTTTCAGACAAGAAAATACTGAGGGAATTAATTGCCACCAGGCCTGCCTTGCAAGACCTCCTGAAGGAAGCACTAAATATGGAAAGGGAAGACTGTTACAAGTCACTACAAAAACACACTGAAGTACACAGACCAGTGACACTATGGAATGACCACATAAACAAGTCTGCAAAATAGCCAGCTAGCATCATGATGACAGGATCAAACTCACACATAACAATATTAACCTTAAATGTAAATGGGCTAAATGTCTCAATTAAAAGACACAGACTATAAATCTGGACAAAGAGCCAAGACCCATTGGTATGCTGTCTTCAAGAGACCATCTCAAGTGCAAAGACACACATAGGCTCAAAATAAAGGGATGGAGGAAAATTTATCAAACAAATGAAAAACAGAAAAAAGTAGAGGTTACAATCCTAGTTTCTAACAAAACTGACTTTAAACCAACAAAAATAAAAAAAGACAAAGAAGGATATTACATAATGGAAAAAGGTTCAATTCAACAAGAAGAGCTTTCTAAATATATATGCACCAAATTCAGGAGCACCCATATTCATAATGCAAGTTCTTAGAGATCTACAAAAAGACTTATATTCTAACACAGTAATAGTGAAAGACTTTAACACTCCACTGACAGTATTAGTCAGATCATCAACACAGAAAATTAACAAGGATATGCAGAACCCGAACACATCTCTGGATCAAGAGGACCTGATAGATATCTACAGAACTCTTCAGCCATAAACAACAGAATAAACACTCATCTCATTGCCACATGGCACTTACTCTAAAATTGAGCATATAAACGGAAGTAAAACACTCCTCAGCAAATGCATAAGAACTGAAATCATAACAGTCTCTCAGACCAAAGCATAATAAATTAGAGCTCAAGATTAAGAAATTAACTCAAAACCACACCACTACATGGAAATTGGATAACCTGCTCTTGAATGACTCTTGGGCAAATAATGACATTAAGACAGAAATCAACAAGTTCTTTGAAACGAATGAGAACCAAAAGACAATGTACCAGAATCTCTGGGACACAGCTAAAATAGTGTTAAGAGGGAAATTTATAGCACTAAATCCCCACACCAAAAAGCTAGAAAGATCTCAAATTGACACCCTAATATCACAACTAAAAGAACTAGAGAACCAAGAGCAAAGAAACACCAAAGCTAGCAGAAGACGAGAAATAGCCAAGATCAGAGCTGAACTGAAGGAGACAGAGACATGAAAAAACTCTTCAAAAAAAATCAACAAATCCAGGGTTTTTTAAATTAATCAAATAGATAGACCACTAGCCAGACTAATAAAGAAGGAAAGAGAGAAGAATCAAATAAACACAATCAGAAATGATCAGGGGATATCACCACTGATCCCACAGAAATACAAACAACCATCAGAGAATACTATAAAACCTCTATGTACATAAATGAGAAAATTTAGAATAAATTCCGGGGTACATACACCCTCCCAAGACTGAACAAGGAAGAAATTAAATCCTTGAATAGACCAATAATGAGTTCTGAATTTGAGGCAGTAATAAACAGCCTACCAATCAAAAAAAGCCCAGGACCAGATGAATTCACAGCTGAATTCTACCAGAGTTACAAAGAAAAGCTGGTATCATTTCTACTGAAACTATTCCAAAAAATTGAAAAGGAGAGACTCTTCCCCAACTCATTCTGTGAGGCTAACTTCATCTTGATACCAAAACCTGGAAGAGATACAACAAATTCTGCACAGCAAAAGAAACTACCATCAGAGTGAACAGGCAACCTACAGAATGGGAGAAAATTTTTGCAACCTACTCATCTGACAAAGGGCTAATATCCAGAATCTATAAAGAACTCAAATTTACAACAACAACAACAACAACAACAACAACAAAAAACCCATCAAAAGGTGGGCGAAGGATATGAACAGACACTTCTCAAAAGAAGACATTTATGCAGCCAACAGACACATGAAAAAATGCTCATCATCACTGGCCATCAGAGAAATGCAAATCAAAACCACAATGAAATACCATCTCACACCAGTTAGAATGGCAATCATTAAAAAGTCAGGAAACAACAGGAGGGATGTGGAGAAATAGGAAAAATTTTACACTGATGGTGGGACTGTAAACTAGTTCAACCATTATGGAAGACAGTGTGGCCATTCCTCAAGGATCTAGAACTAGAAATACCATTTGACCCAGCCATCCCATTACTGGGTATATACCCAAAGGATTATAAATCATGCTGCTATAAAGACACACGCACGCGTATGTTTATTGCGGCACTATTCACAAAAGCAAAGACTTGGAACCAACCCAAATGTCCAACAATGATAGACTGGATTAAGGAAATGTGGCACATATACACCATGGAATACTATGCAGCCATATAAAAGGATGAGTTCATGTCCTTTGCAGGGACACGGATGAAGCTGGAAACCATCATTCTCGGCAAACTGTCACAAGGAGAAAACACCAAACACCGCATATTCTCACTCATAGGTGGGAATTGAACAATGAGTATACTTGGACAGAGGAAGGGGAACGTCACACACCGGGGCCTGTTGTGCGGTAGGGGAAGGGAGGAGGGAAAGCATTAGGAGATATACCTAATGTAAATGACGAGTTAATGGGTGCAGCACACCAACATGGCACATGTATACATATGTAACAAACCTGCACGTTGTGCACATGTACCCTAGAACTTAAAGTATAATAAAATAAAATAAAATAAAAAATAAACTCACAAAAAATAAAAATAAAAACTGCTACCTCCTGCTTGTTAAAACAAAAAAAGAAAACATCAGGTCAATATCCTTGATAAACATTGATGTAAAAATCCTCAATAAAATACTGGCATAATGAATCCAGCAGCATATCAAAAAGCTATTCACAACAATCAAGGTGGCTTCATCCCCAGATACAAGGTTCATTCAACATATGCAAACCAATAAATGTGATTTATCATATAAACAGAACTAAAGACAAAAACCACATCATTATCTCAATAGATGCAGGCCTGTGATAAAATTGAACATCTCTTCATGTTTAAAACTCTCAATAAACCAGGTATTGAAGGAACATACCTCAAAATAATAAGAGCCATTTATCACAAAGCCACAGGTAATATCATACTAAGTGGGCAAACCTGGAAGCATTTCCCTTGAAAACTGGCACAAGATAAGGATGCCCTCTCTCACCACTCCTATTCAACATATTATTGGAAGTTCTGGCCAGGGCAATCAGCCAAGAGAAAGAAATAAAGGGCATTCAAATAGGAATAAAGGAAGTCAAACTATCCTTGTTTGCACATGACATGATCCTATATGTAGAAAACCCTATTGTCTCAGCTCAAAAGCTTCTGAAGCTAATAAGCAACTTCAGCAAGGTCTCAGGATACAAAATTAATGTGCAAAAATCGCTAGCCTTCCTATACATCAACAACTGGTAAGCAGAGAACCAAATTATAAATGAAATCCCATTCACAATTGTCACAAAAAGAATAAAATACCTAGGAATACAGCTAACAAGAGAAGTGAAAGACTTCTTCAAGGAGAACTACAAACCACTGCTCAACAAAATCAGAGAGGACACAAACAAATGTAAAAACATTCCATGCTCATGAGATAGGAAGAATCAATATCGGGAAAATGGCCAAACTGCCCAAAGTAATTTATGGATTGAATGCTATTCCCATTAAACTATCACTGGCATTCTTCAGAGAATTAGAAAAAGCTATTTAAAAATTCGTATGGAACCAAAAAAGAGCCTGAATAGCCAAGACAATCCTAAGAAAAAAGCTAAAGGCACCATGCTACAGACTTCAAGCTATACTACAAGGCTACAGTAACCAAAACAGTATGGTATGGGCAGAAGAACAGACACATAGACCAATGGAACAGAAAACAGAACCCAGAAATAAGACCACACGCCAAAAACATGTGATCTTTGACAAACCTGACAAAAACTAGCAATGGGGAAAGGATTCCCTATTTTGTAAATGATGCTGGGAGTGCTGCCTAGCCATATGCAGAAAATTGTAACTGGCCCCCTTCCTTACACCTTATATAAAAGTTAACTCAAGATGGATTAAAAGACTTAAGTATAAAACCTGAAACTGTAAAAACCCTAGAAGAAAATCCAGGCAATACTATTCAGGACATAGGCACAGGCAAATATTTCATGATGAAAACACCAAAAGCAATTGCATCAAAAGAAAAAATTGACAAATGGGATGTAATTAAAGAGTTCCTGCACAGCAAAAGAAACCATCATCAGAGTGAACACACAACCTAAAGAATGGGAGGAAAGTTTTACAATCTCTCCATCTAACAAAAGTCTAATATCCAGAGTCTATTACACAAGGAACTTAAATTTCTAAGAAAAAAACAAACAACCCCAGTAAAAAGTGGGCAAACGACATGAACAAACACTTCTCAAAAGAAGACATAGATGTGGCCAAAACAAACATGTAAAAAAAGCTCAACATCACTGATTATTAAACACAAATCAAAGCCACAAAGAGATACTATCTCACGCCAGTCAGAATGGCTATTACTAAAAAGTCAAAAGCAACAGATGCTGACAAGGTTGCAGATAAAAGAATGCCTTTACACTGTTGGTGGGAGTGTAAATTAGTTCAATCATTGTGGAAGATAGTGTGGCAATTCCTTGAAGACCTAGAGCCAGAAATACCATTTGACCCAGCAATCCCATTACTTGGTATATACCCAAAGAAATATAAATTATTTGAGTTTAAAGATACATGCATTAATTGTAAGTTTCCTGAGGCCTGCCCAGCCATGTGTAACTGTGAGTCAATTAAACCTCTTTTCTTTAAAAATAAATAAATAAATAAATAAAGATACATGCATGCATATGTTCATTGCAGCACTATTCTCAATAGCAAAGACATGAAATCAACCTAAATGTCCATCAATGATAGACTGGATAGAGAAAATGTGGTACATATACACCATGGAATATTATGTAGCCATAAAATGGAAGGAGATCATGTCCTTTACAGGGACATGGGTGGAGTTGGAAGCCATTATCTTCAGCAAACTAACACAGGAACAGATAACCAAACACCATACGTTCTAACTTATAAGTGGGAGCTGAACAATGTGAACACATGGACACAGGAAGAGGAACAACACACACTGGGGCCTGTTAGGGGTGGGGGGAGGGACAGCATCAGGAAGAGGAGCTAATGGATGCTGGGATTCACACCTAGGTGATGGGATTATCTGTGCAGCAAAGCACCATGGCAAACATTTACCTGTATAACAAATCTGCATATCCTGCACATGTACCCCTGAACTTAAAATAAAAGTTTAAGACAAAGAAAAAAACAAAAGTCAATAAATTGATATTATAAAACAGTAGCTAAATGAACTAAATACTGCAAAGTAATATGAAAAACAACTGGTTATTTTGTTTACTTAGAAGAACAGTTATACCAGTTAAGACAAAATTATAAGGTTTTAAAAATTCTTTTTAACATTATAATTAAAAGTAGCACCTTGTGGTGGCACTTTAATTTCTGGGATGTCCTTGGGAATATAACTTCCTTATAGTACACTGCACCTACTTGAAAGGCACAGGAAGAGGATTTTCTATTTGTATGTGATAAATATCTCATGTCTACTTAACAAACTGGCTTTTGTTTGGAATAAGATGTCAGGCCTGGATGCCCTAATTCTGGCACTAACAAGCCTTATTGAAAACTTATAATACAGTGAGCCAGTAAATGCATTTTGGATGAGGCAATTGATGATAGATTGGGATGTACTTGGGTATTAAAGAATGTAATACTGTGGCTATTAAATTGGCCCAATGTACTCTCCTTTTCTTTTTACACGTTAAAAATAATAAAGATGTGGTCTTAAGTGTTAGATATTTGTAGTGGATGTCTAAATTCTGTCATCATCTCACCCAGGTTAGGGCTATGAAATTCCCAAACAATCAGACTTTCTACTGGCCTACAAGCTTCATAAGGTGATGACGACAGTCATTTTTATTTAGGCAAAATTCACATAACATAAATTCCATTTAAAGTGTCCATTTTATAGTGTACAATTCAGTAGCATTTAGTACAGAGTGTTGTGCAACCATTACCGCTATCTAGTTCCAGAAGAGTTTCATCTCCCCAAAAGGAAACACCATACCTAATAACAGTTATTCTCCATTTCTCTCTATCCCCAGAGCCTGGGAACTATTAATTTGAATTCTGTCTCTATGGATTTGCCTTTCTGGATATTTCACATAAATGTAATCAAAACTATGTGGCCTTCAGTGTCTGGTGTCTTTCAACTGGCATAATTTTTTTTTTTTTTTTTTTTTAGACAGAGTTTTGCTCTTTGTTGCCTAGGCTGGAGTGCAATAGCACAATCTCGGGTCACCACAACCTCTGCCTCCTGGGTTCAAGCGACTCTCCTGCCTCCGCCTCCCGAGTAACTGGGATTACAGGCATGCACCACCATGCCCGGCTAATTTTGTATTTTTAGTAGAAACGGGGTTTCTCCAAGTTGGTCAGGCTAGTCTCGAACTCCCGACCTCAGGTGATCCGCCTGCCTCGGCCTCTCAAAGTGCTGGGATTACAGGCATGAGCCACGAGCCCAGCCCTGGCATAATGTTTTCAAGGTTCATCCGTGTTGTACCATGTATCAGTACTACATTCCTTTTCATGGCTGAATAAAATTCCAGCCAGCATATGGACATACAACACCTTCATTATCCATTTATTCACTGATGAAAATTTGGACTGTTTCTACCTTTTGGCTATAGTGAATAGTGCTGCTATGAATAGTTATGTATAAGTACTTGTTTGAACACCTGTTTTCAATTATTTTGGGTATGTATCTAGGAGTGGGATTTCTGGGTCACATGGTAATTATATATTTAACTTCATGAAAATTTGCACAGCTGTTTTCACATCAGTCATACCATTTTACATTCCTAGTAGCAATGTATGAAGATTCTGATTTCTTCACATCCTCTCCAAGAGTTATTATTTTTCATTCATTCATTTATTTAATTTGGCTATCCTAGTAGGTATCTATCATGGTCTTGTTTGCAATTCTCTAGTAACTAATGATGTCAAGCATCTTTTCTGTGCTTTTTGGCTATTTGTATATATTCTTTGGAGACATGTCTATTCAAATCCTTTCACCAGTTTTAAATTTGGTTGTTTGTTTTCTTGTTGTTTATTTGTAGAAATTCTTGATATATTCTGAACACTTGACACATCAGATACATGACTTGCAAATATTTTCTCCCATTCTTTGGATGATCATCTCACTTTCTTGATAGTGTTGTTTGATGTACAAAAGGCTTTTTTTTTTAACTTTGATGAAGTCAAATTTATCCACTTTTTCTTTTATTACTTGTGCTTTTGGTGTCATATCAAAGAATTCATTGCCAAATCCAAGATAATAAAGATTTTCCCCTAAGTTTTACTCAAAGAGTTTTGTAAGTTTAGGCCTTACATTTAAGCATTTGGTCCTTTTTAAAATAATGTGATAAATATGTGTAATGAAATTTAACCATTTTAAATTATATAGTTCAGTGGTATTAAGTACATTCACATTACTGTTCCACCATCACTACCATCCATCTCCAGAACTTTATTCATCTTCCCAAACTGATATTCTATACTAATTAAATAACTCCACATTTCCCTCTCCTCCCAGTCTTAGCAAAGACCATTCTACTTTTTCTCTGTGAATTCGTCTACTTTAGGTACCTCATATAAGTAGAATCATACATATTAGCCTTTTGTTACTGGTTTATTTCACTTAGTACGATGTCCTGAAGTTTCGTCCATGTGGTAGCATGTGTCAGAATTTCCCTCTCTTTCCAAAAGCTGAATAATATTCCATTGTATGTATATACTTGATTTTACTTACCAGTTCATTTGGGTTGCTTCCACCTTTTGGCTATTGTGAATAACACTATAAACATAGATATACAGCCATCTCTTTGAGACCTTGCTGTCAACTCTTTTGGGTATAAACCCAAAAGTGGAATTGCTAGACCCTGTGGTGGTGCTATTTTCAACTATTTGAGGAACCATTATACTGTTTTCCATAGCAGTTACACCATTTTACCATTCCCACCAACAGCCTTCAAATGTTCCAATTTCTTTACATCTTCACCAACACTTGCTGTTTTACAGTTTTTTTTATAGTAAGCCTTTTAAAAAAGATTTTAATAAAGGGTGTGAGGTGGTATCTCATTGTTTTGATTTGCATTAATCTAATGATTAACGATATTCAGCATCTTTTCATGTGCTTCTTTGTGATGGTTAATATTGAGTGTCACCTTGATTGGACTGAGGGATGCAAAGGATCCTGGGTGTGTCTGCAAGGCTGCTGCCAAAGGAGATTAACATTTGACTCAGTGGGATGGGGAAGGCAGACCCACCCTTAATCTGAGTAAGCACCATCTAATCAGCTACCAGCGAATATAAAGCAGGCAGGAAAACGCGAAAAGACTAGACTGCCTAGCCTCCAAGGCTACATCTTTCTGCCAAGCTGGAGCCTTCCTGCCCTCGAACATTGGACTCCAAGTTCTTCAGTTTTGGGACTCGGACTGGCTTTCCTTGCTCCTCAGCTTGCAGATGGTCTATTGTGGGCCCTTGTGATTGTGGGAGTTAATACTTAACAAACTCCTGGAGTTTCATGGCTTGTGAGAGGCGAGGAGTTTAGTGACTCTATACATAATACCTTTGACCATATGTGGAGAACCAAGGAACATAATCTTTCTCCCATCCTTCCCCAAAGAAACATGTGGCCTTTTACCAGGGTAACTGCACTGGGGAAAGGGAAATGATCAGACATTTTGGGAACTACTGGACACTGGCTCTGAGCTGATGATTCCAGGCAAGCAAAAATGTCATTACGGTCCTCCAGTTAAAGTAGGTGCTTATGGAGGTCAGGTAATTAATGGAGTTTTAGCTCAGGTCTGATTTACAGTGTCTGGTGTCCAGTGGGTCCCCGGACTCATCTTGTGGTCATTTCCCCAGTGCCAGAATGCATAATTGGCATAGACATACTTAGCAGCTGGCAGAATCCCCACAATGGCTCCCTGACTGATAGGGTGAGGGTTATTATGGTGGGAAAGACCAAATGGAAGCCATTAGAGCTGCCTCTACCTAGAAACACAATAAATCAAAAACAGTATCACATCCCTGGAGGGATTGTGATTAGTGCCACCATCACAGACTTGACAGATGCAGCGGTGGTGATTCCCACTACATCCTCCTTCAACTCTCCAATTTGGCCTGAACAGAAAACAGATGGATTTTGGAGAATTACAGTGGATTATCGTAAGCTTCACGATGACTCCAATTGCAGCTGCTATAACAGATGTGGTTTCATGGCTTGAGCAAATTAACACATCTCCTGGTACCTGGTATGCAGACATTGACTTAGTAAATGCCTTTTTCTCCATTCCTGTCCATAAGGCCCACCAGAAGCAATTTGCCTTCAGCTGGCAAGGCCAGTAATATACCTTTATTGTCCTACCTTAGGAGTATATCAACTCTCTGTCTTTGTGACATTATCTTATTGGGAGAGACCTTGATCGTTTTTCGCTTCTGCAAGATATCACACTGGTCCATTACATTGATGACATTATGCTGATTGGATCCAGTGTGTAAGAAGTAGCAAATACACTGGACTTATTGGTGAGACAATTGCATGCCAGAGGATGGGAAATAAATCTGACTAAAATTCAGGGACCTTCTACTTCAGTAAAATTTCCAGGGTTCCAGTGGTGTGAGGCCGTCAAAATATTCCTTCTGAGGTGAAGGATAAGTTGCTGCATTTGGCCCCTCCTACAACCAAGAAATTAGCACAATGCCTAGTGGGCCTATTTGGATTTTAGATGCAACACATTCCTCATTTGAGCATGTTACTCTGGCCCATTTATCGAGTGACCGAAAAGGCTGCCAGTTTTGAGTTGGGTCCAGAACAGGAGAAGGCTCTTCAACAGGTCCAGGCTGCTGTGCAAGCTACTCTGCCACTTGGGCTATATGACCCAGCAGATCCAACAGTGCTTGAGTTGTCAGTGGCAGATAGGGATGCTGTTTGGAGCCTTTGGCAGGCTCCCACAGGTGAATCACAGCAGAGGTCTCTAGGATTTTGGAGCAAGGCCCTGCCATCTTCTGCAGATAACTACTCTCCTTTTGAGAGACAGCTCTTGGCCTATTACTGGGCTTTGGTGGAAACTGAACGATTGACTATGGGTCATAAAGTCACCACGTGACCTGAACTATCTATCATGAACTGGGCACTCTGTGACCCATCTAGCCATAAAGTTGGTTGTGCACATCAGTATTCGATCATCAAATGAAGTGGTATATACGTGATCATGCTCGAGCAGGTCCTGAAGGCACAAGTTACATGACAAAGTAGCTCAAATGCCCATGGTCTCCACTCCTGCCACCTTGCCTTCTCTCCCCCAGCCTGCACTGATGGCCTCATGGGGGGTTCACTATGATCAATTGACAGAGGAAGAGATTACTAGGGCCTGGTTCACAGATGGTTCTACACGAAATGCAGGCACCACCCAAAAGTGGACAGCTGCAGCACTACAGCCCCTTTCTAGGACATCCTGGAAGGACAGCGGTGTAAAGAAATCTTCCCATGGGGCAGAACTTTGAGCACCACACCTGGTTGTGCACTTTGCATGGAGGAAGAAATGGCCAGATGTGCAATTATATACTGATTCATGGGCTGTAGCCAATGGTTTGGCTGGATGGTTAGGGATTTGGAAGAAGCATGATTGGAAAATTGGTGACAAAGAAATTTGGGGAAGAGGTATGTGGATGGACCTCTCTGAGTGGTCATAAACTGTGAAGATATTTGTATCCCATGTGAGTGGTGACCAACGGGTGACTTCAGCAGAGGAGGATTTTAATAATCAAGTGGATAGGACGACCTGTTCTGTGGACATCACTCAGCCTCTTTCCCCAGCCACCCCTGTCATCGCCCAATGGGCCCATGAACAAAGTGGCTGTGGTGGCAAGGATGGAGGTTATGCATGGGCTCAGTGATATGGACCTCCACTCACCACGGTCGACCTGGCTATGGCCACTGCTGAGTGCCCAATTTTGCCAGCAGCAGAGACCAACACTCAGCATTCAAACTGGCACCATTTCTTGGGGTGATCAGCCAGCTACCTGGTGGCAGGTTGATTATACTGGACTTCATTTATTAGGAATGGGCAGAGGTTTTTCCTCACTGGAATAGATACTGACTCCGAATACAGGTTTACCTATCCTGCACACAATGCTTCTGTCAATACAATACATGGACTCATGGAATCCCTTATCCACCATCACGGTAATCCACACAGCACTGCCTCTAACCAATGCACTCACTTTACGGCTAAAGACGTGAGGCAGTGGGCTCATGCTCATGGAATTCCCATGTTCCCTATCATCCCGAAGCAGCTGGATTGATAGAACAGTGGAATAGCCTTTTGAAATCACAATTACATGTCAACTAGGTGACAATACTTTGCAGAGCTGGGGCATAGTTCTCCAGAAGGCCGTGTATGCTTTCAATCAGCATCCAATATATGGTACTCTTTCTTGCATAGGCAGGATTCATGTGTCTAGAAATCAAGTGGTGGAAGTGGAAGTGGCACTACTCACTATCACCCCTAGTGATCCACTAGCAAAATTTTTGCTTCCTGTTCCCACAACATTATGTTCTGCTTGCCCAGAGGTCTTTGTTCCAGATGGAGGAACATTGCCACCAGGAGACACAACGATTCCATTAAACTGGAAGTTAAGATTGCCACCTGGACAGTTTGGGCTCCTCCTACCTTTAAGTCAACAAGCTAAGAATGGAGTTATAGTGTTCCCTGGGGTGACTGACCCAGACTATCAAGATGAAATCAATTTATTACTCCACAACGGAGGTAAGAAAGAATATGCATGTAATACAGGAGTAGAAGGTGGTCATCAATACCAGCTACAACCATGTGACCAGTTGCAGAAACAAGAACTATAATTATCATGAGTATTTCCTCCTTCTTTTCTTAAAAACATATTTGTGCATGTATACACTCGTACTAAGAAAATATCTTCCATTTCCTTTTTCCTTTATCATGTGACATAAGATTTATTGACTTCATATCAGCATTTAAGTATTGTTAACTTTATGTAATAGCATTTGGTTTGGGTATTGGTGCGTTTCTGTTGTACAAAGGATAGTTGTATCATGTCAGGCATAATTATGACCTTATTATTGTCTTGATTTGAAGATTATGTATGGTCTCAGGAGATGTGTATGGTTTCAACTTGACAAGGGTGGACTTGTGATGGTTAATACTGAGTGTCAACTTGATTGGATTGAAGGATGCAAAGGACTGATCCTGGGTGTGTCTGTGAGGGTGCTGCCATAGGAGATTAAGATTTGAGTCAGTAGGCTTGGGAAGGCAGACCCACCCTTAATCTGGATGGGCACCATCTAATCAGCTGCCAGTGAATATAAAGCAGGCAGAAAAACGTGAAAAGACTAGACTGGCCTAGCCTCCAAGCCTCGATCTTTCTCCTGTGCTGGACCTTTCATGCCCTCAAACATCGGACTCCAACTTCTTCATTTTTGGGATTCAGACTGGCTTTCCTTGCTCCTCAGCTTGCTGATGGCCTATTGTGAGACCTTGTGATTGTGTGAATTAATACTTAATAAACTCCCCTTTATATATATATATATACACACACACACACACACACACACATATATGTACTTTTATTATACTTACACTTTTATATACTCCCATATGTGTGTATATATATATATATAATCCCCTTTATATATATATATATAATCCCCTTTATACACACACACACACACACACACACACACACACACACAGTTAGTTCTGTCCGTCTAGAGAACCCTGACTAAAATATTCCTGATCATTGAGGTATCTTCTTTGGAGAACTGTCAAGTTATTTACCCATTTTAAAACTGATCTGCACATATAACCCTTGAAACTAAAATAAAAATTGAAATTATTTTTTAAAAATAAAATGAGTTGGCCGGGCGCGGTGGCTCATGCCTGTAATCCCAGCACTTTGGGAGGCCGAGACGGGTGGATCATGAGGTCAGGAGATCGAGACCATCCTGGCTAACACGGTGAAACCCCATCTCTACTAAAAAAAATACAAAAAATTAGCCAGGCGTGGTGGCGGGTGCCTGTGGTCCCAGCTACTCGGGAGGCTGAGGCAGGAGAATGGCGTGAACCCGGAGGTGGAGCTTGCAGTGAGCCGAGATTGCGCCGCTGCACTCCTGCCTGGGCGACAGAGCGAGACTCCGTCTCAAAAAAATAAATAAATAAATAAAAATAAATAAAAAAAAGTTTTTTGTTTAGCTGTAGGTTTTAAATATTCTGTATAATAACTGTTTATCTAACATATTACTTATATTTTCTGCTATTCTGTAGGCTGCCTTTTCACTCTGTTAAATGTATCCTTTGACATATGAAAATTTTAAATTATGATGTAGTCCAATTTATGTATGTTTACTTTTTTACAGTGTCATATCCAAGAAATTCCCAAACCAATGTTATAAAAATATTCCTCTGTGGATTTTTTTTCTAAGTTTTATAATCCTAGCTCTTAAGTTTAGATCTTGGATCTATTTTAAGTTAATTTTTATATATGGTGTGAGGTAAAGGTTCTACGTCATTATTTTGGATATGGACATCCAGTTATCCCAACACCACTTGTTGAAGACTGTGCATTCTCCATTAGAATGCTTTTAGCATGGTTGTTGAAGATTTCTGACCAAATATGCAAGTGTTTGTTGTTGGGCTCTTTATCCTATTCCATTGGTCTACATATCTGTCCTTATGCTAGTACCACATTGTTTTGATTACTGTAGCTTTGCAGTAAATTCTGAAATCAGGAAGTGTGAAGCTACAACTTTGTTCTTTTTCAAGATTGTTTTTGGTATGTGGGATCTCTTGATATTCCATATAAATTTTAGAAAATGACTTTTTATTTCTGCAAAAAAAAGATCATTGGGATTTTGATATAAATTGCATTAAATCTATAGATTGATTTGGATAGTATTTACGTTTTAACAATATTAACTCTTCCAATTCATGAATACAGGATGCTTTTCCCTTTATTCATGTCTACTTTCTTTCAGTGACATTTTTTAGTTTTCACTTTAGAAGTCTTTCACTTTTTTGGTTATGTTTATTCCTAAGTATTTTATGTTTTTGGTGCTATTATAAATGAAATTGCTTTTTTAGTTTCCTTTCAGATTGTTCATTGTTAGTGTATCAAAACATAATTGGTTTTTGCGTGATGTGGTGATTTTGTATCCTGCAACTTTGCTGAATTCATTTATTATTTATAATAGGGTTTTACATGTGGAATATTTACGGTTTTCTATATGTAAGATCATACCTACAAACAGAGATAATTTTACTTCTTCCTGTTCAATTTCAATGTCTTTTATTTGATTTTCTTGCCTACTTGCACTAGCCAGAGGAAATGTTTCTTATTTTTTTTTTTAAGAAATTTGGGAAGGATTGATGTTAATTATTCCTTAAATATTTGATAGAATTCATCTGTGAAGCCATCTGGTCCTTGGGTTTTCTTTGTTGGCAGGTTTTTGATTACTAATTCTATATCTTTACTTGTTAAAAGTCTATTCAGATTTTTTATTTCTTCTTGAGTCAGTTTTGGCAGTTTGTGTCTTTCTAAAAGTTTTTCCATTTCATCTAGGTTATCAAATTTAGGGGCACACAATTCTTCATATTATTTTCTTATAATTCAATTTATTTAAAGTTGGTAGTTACATCTCCACTTTCACTTCTGATATTAGTAATTTACGTCTTCCTTTTTTCCTCCCTCCTTCCCTTCCTTTGTTCCTTCCTTCTTTCCTTTCTTCCCTCCCTCCCTTCCTAATATAAGTAATTTGTGCCTGTACTCTTTTTTATGTTCCTTTCTCCTCCCTTCCCTCCCTTCTCCTCTCCTCCTCTTCCTCCCCTCCCTTCCCTTCTCTCCTCTTTTCCCTTCTCTTCCCTCCTTCTCTCCTTTTCAGTCTAGCTAAATAAAGGTTTGACAATTTTGTTAACCCTCAGTTTTGGTTTTGTTGGGTCTCTGTATTATTTTCTATTCCTCATTTTGTTTACTTCTGTTCTAATCTTTATTATTTCCTTCTGATTACTTTGGTTTTAGATTGCTATTTATTTTATGGTTTTTTAAGATGAAAAGTCAGACTATTTTGAAATTTTTATCCTTTTTAAATGAAGGTACTTACAGCCATAAATTTTTTTCTGAGCACTGCTTTATTGCATCCCCTAATTTCTGTTAAGTTTTTTCTTGTTTTCATTCATCTCAAAATATTTTCTAATTTCCCTTATGCTGTCTTATTTGATTCATTTGTTAAGCATGTGTTTAATTTCCACATATTTATGAAACTGTAGATTTCTTTGTGTTATTGATTTGTGGTTTCATTCCATCACAATCAGAGAAGATATTTTGTGTCTTTTAAATTTATTGAGTCTTGTATTATGGCCTAATATATGGTCTATACTGGAAAATGTTCTGCGTACACTTAGGAAGAAAGTACATTTTACTCTTTTTGGGTGATCTATATAGGTGTGTTACATGTAGCTGGTTTGGTGTTGTTCAAATCCTCCATTTCCTTATTGACCTTCTGTTTAGTTATTGTATCCATTATTGCAAGTGGGGTATTGAAGTCTCCAACTATTACTGTGTAACTGTTATTGTGTATTTTTTTCTTTACTTCTCTCAGTTTTTGCTTCTTATAATTTGGGGCTCTCTTATTACACACATATATTTTATAACTGTCACATATTCTTGATAAATTGACTCTTTTGTAAATATATGTCCTTCTTCGTCTCTTGTAACATTTTTTTACTTAAAGAGTCTTTGTTGTATGATATTAATATAACCACCCTTGCTCTGTTTTGATTACTATTTACTAGTGATATCTTTTTCTAGCTTTACATTTTCAACCTATTTATGTTTCTGGTTCTAAAGTTAGACTTTTGTAAACAGTATAAAGGTAAATCACAATTTTTTATCCATTCTGCCAATTTCAACCTTTTAATTGAATAGTTTAATCCATTTATGTTTCAAGTAATTACTTATTATGAATAACTTCTGTCATTTTACTCTTTATTTTCTTCATATCTCATATCTCTTACATTCCTCAATTTCTACATTGTTGCCTTTCTCTGTAGTTAACTTTATTTTTCTTGTGCACCATTTTGGCTTCATTAAGGAGACAGTATTTTTCCTAATGTTCGGAGGCTGGAAAGTTTCCCTATTGTTCTTTTACTACTTTGGAACCTACCCTAATTTAGAGTAGTTACACATTACAAATGCCTGATATAATCACAAATTATTTCATGAACCTTTAAAAATATTGCATGAAACACTCGCATTTAAGGTAACACAGTCTGAAAATGATTTATTTAACTATTGTGCTTTTTTCTCAGAGTTGTATTTCAGAGTCTCACTGGAATGAAATAACAGCACTAAATAAATAAAATAATCACTGGTACTAAAATAGTAGTTTCATAGAATTGAATTAGATGAGGCCTCAGAGTCCAAGTGGGTTCTTGTTTTCTAATTATATCACCAATGCAGGTAGTGGTTTCCTACTCTTTTTAAAATTTGAGACAGGGTCTTACTCTGTCACTCAGGCTGGAGTGTAGTGGCACCATCACAGGTCACCGCAGCCTCAAACTCCTGGGTTTAAGTAATCCTCCTGCCTCTGCCTCCTGAGTAGCTGGGAACACAGGTGTGCTCCACCATGCCCAGATAATTAAAAAATTCTGTGTATTGACAGGGTCTCACTTTGTTGCCTAGGTCTCAAACTCCTAGCTTCAAGTGATTCTCCCACCTCAGCCTCCAAAATTGTTGGGAATACAGGTGTGAGCCACAGCACCCAGTTGGCTTCTTAGTATTAAAGATATCCAGAGCTGGTGATTTCACAAACTCCTTCAATAGCCTATCCTACCCTCAATTCACCTTTATCACTAGGAGTTCTTTAAGATTACCCTGACTCTTTCGTATTATTTACTCCTCTTTTTGTCCTCTTCTTGCTTTATTGTCACTTCTACTTTTTTCTGTTCTTATCCTTTAAGAAGTAACCAATATTCTTACCTTCTGGTTTGGCTGCTGTGGGAGTGTAAAGATAGACTTCCAGTAGGTCCAGGTAAAGAACACAAAGATGGCATGGTAGAGTATGAGGTAAATAACTGAAATAAAAAAAAAATCAGTGTTTATACTATCTTTTTATCCATTTCTAAGAATTCAAAAATACAAAGCTCCATGACGAATTTTTATTGTTTTCTTATTAACATGTATTCTCTGGTATTATTATGAAGTGTTAATTTTATTTTCCCATACAGTGACAGAAACAAGCCATAATGACAAACCTGAAACAAAGACATTCTGCAAGTTGCACACCTTAAAAGTTGCCATGTCATTCTTGAAGGGGGAAATGTCCTTTATGACAATGTAGGGAAAACTACTTCAGCCAATTGTCATTATCTTTGCTACTTTGAGTACTGAAAGGTGATAATGACACAATTTACACAGCACTTTAGAGTTTACAACATGCTTTCACATATATTATTTCATTTTATTTTCTCAATAAATTTGTAAGATAGGTAATAAGATAGGGATAGTCGATTAACTACCAGAGGTAGTTGATTAACCAAAGTCACACAGGTAGTCTATAATGTAGCCAGGTGTTAAAGACTAAACAGTTTTTTTCTTTTAAAAAAGTTTGTATAAATTCATGGAGTACAAGGAAAATTTCGTTACATGCATAGGTTGCACAGTGGTGTAGTCAGGGCTTTCAAGAGTATCTATCACTTGAATAATGTACATTGTACCTACTGAGTAGTTTCTTATCATCCACCCCTCTCCTACCCCCTCACCCATACCAGTCTCTATTATCTATCATTCCACAGTCTGTTTCCATATGTACACATTATTTAGCTTCCACTTATGAGTGAGAACATGAGGTATTTGTCTTTCTGTGTCTGAGTTGTTTCACTTAAGATAATGGCCTCCAGTTCCATCCATCTTGCTGCAAAAGACATGATTTCATTCTTTCTTATGGCTGAATAGTATTCCATTGAAGATTATATACTTTTGAAGTGTGGGTTGTACTTCTGAGACAGTTATAAAAGTGGCTCTCTACTACCTTTCTTTTCATACCCTTTGCCTTTTAGATAGCTCTTCTCATATGCGATATTTTGGTATTCTCCACAGAGGTGGTTATAAGACTGCAAGACTGTGAGTCCTTAAATGGTATGGTCTTATTACTTCAATCCGTCAGAAAGACTCAAGGGAATAATGACTCAAGACCAACTTAATAGGACTGAGCCTCTCATACATTTATAATTGAATTGAAAAAAAAAGAGACTCTACTCTCCTGGCTCAGTTCTCCCAGCCCTACAGGACAAGACCATTTATATGTGCTTGATTTTTGTAACTATGAAATCTCATTTTAAAATTCAAGCAATATAAAGTAAAAGGTAAATGTCCACCCCACACATACATCTAACTTCTCACCTCCCCATTCTAAGGCACAACACCTCTTTGGTGTTTGGTATGTATCATTCCAGATCCTCTTATTTGTATATGTTTATACAAACATATGTACACCACAAACATGAAAGATTTGTAATATTTTAACATTTTTAATTGTATCTCTTTTTAAAAGTAATATATTTATAAGTTTTAAAATCTGAAAGTATGGAATAGTATACAGTGAAAAGTCTTCCTTCTATACCTGTCCCCCAGCCACCCAGTTCTCCTCGCTGGAAGCAACCAACATCACAAAGCCATGACTTTGTTGTGTATCCTTTATGATTTTATACATATAAAATCACCCAAATAGTGTGTTTTTCCACAAATGGCAGTATTCGATACACACTGTTTTGTACCTTACTTCTTTTTCACTTACTATAAGTTACCATAATTTATTTAACCAGGCTGTCTCTGAGGAAAATTTGTTCTTCCCCCTTCTCTTGCTAATACAAATAATGCTTCAATGAATAATTTTTATATATGTCATCAGCACATGCACAAAAAATATCTATAGGATCAATTCTCTGAAGTGGAACTGCAAGGTCAAAAAGCATGTCTTTTTGTAGATACTGCCAAACTGCCATTAAGAATATTTGTATTTAATTTATATTCTCATCATCAATAAGTGAGAGCGCCTCTTCCATTGCCCTCTAGAATTCAAGATTTTTTCAAGAGTTGTGTCCAGTGTTTAGCTGGCTACCCCCTGGGAGTGTCTCTAGGCTAGCCTTTGTGAAGTGTTATCATACTTTTTTCTCTTAGGCAATGCCTTTAAATTTTTTTTTAATGTGTTATCTTTTGCAATTTTTTTGTTTCTTTGATTTTATGAGGTTTGTACGGGGAAAATTACATGACTAAGTTATGTTAACCCATGTTCCTTCAGTATGGGAGTGTGAAATCTTTGATTTTTAAAGAGATCAGGAGAAAACAATTTCATGTTTACCCTCTCATTATACACTTCAAGGGTAATGTGGTTAACCAATTTGGATCACCTGAGTGACTGAGCACTAAACTCCTACACTTGGCAGTATCTTAAGCACATTAACTGTATTTTTAATTCCAATGATTGAGATGGGAAGTGTGGGACTTTAACTTGTTCCAGGTACTACTACGCATCAACTGGTTCAATCACGGAATTGGAAACAGCTGGCTCCCATTCCTACATTACAAGGTTTCATAGAAATTATGGGTACTGTTAAATAAATCGGTAGAAAATGAAGGATTTTGAGGTTAAATGACTAAGTCGAGGTTATTCTATAAACCGGTAAAATAGGAACTATACCAATATTTTAGAGTAAGGTGAGACCATAGAGATCATTTGGTTCAACACTCTCATTTTACAGAGAAGTAACTGAGGCCCAGAGGGGCAAGTGATTTGATCAGAATTACCCAGCAAAGTTATGGAAGCAATGGAACCAGAATCCAAGTTTCTTCAGTCCCAGTCCAGAGTGCTTTTCCTCAGAGCAGTGATTCTCAAATTTCAGTCTGCATCAAAGCCACCCATAAAGGTTATTAAGATGCTGCAGATCAGGGGGAGGTTTGTCAGCCAGACGGTCACATCTCTCTTTGAGCCTAACACTTAGCAATAAAATGTTAATTCTAATATTTGAGTTCATTGCTTCACTTTACTTTCTCTGCTTTACAAACTCTAACAAAAAGCTAGACCTTGTTTTTCAGCTATTTGAAGGAATGAAGATAATGGTGTAAGACGCCCATAAGGTGTGCCCAAGATCTCATTCTTCATGACAGTACAAGAATTGCTCAAGAGTTGTTTCCCAATAGATGATGGAGACTACTGTGTTGGGGGGTGGGGAACAAGGGTTGAAAAACTACCTATTGGGTACTATGCTTACTATTTGGGTGATGGGCTCAATTGTACCCCAAATCTCACCATCATGCAATATACCCAGCTAACAAACCTGCACATGTACCCCCTGAATCTACAAAAAAAGTTGAAATTATTTTTTAAAAGAGTTGTTTCCATGATTTAGCCACCCTCTAGAATTCAAGATTTTCTCAAGAGTTGCATCCAATGTTTAGCTGGCTACCCACTGGGAGTATCTCTAATACTGGGATCAAATTCTGGTGCTAATACATGATATTACATTTTGAAATGGCTTAGTTTTCCTCATTGATATCCACTTCAAAAGTTAGGGTTGTCTTCCAGGTATCCTAATTTCTTCTAATTATCCATTAGGCATCTACTACTCATCAATTTACATAAACCTTCTATGAAGCTGGTTAGATTATCAGTCTATACCAATTCTTTGGGAGTAGTGAGTCTCATAAGTTTGCCAGCCACTATGCAAAGCAGGGCTTCATATTAGTTGTCTTAAACAGCATTGTTAAGTTTCAAAGAGCTTTCTAGTACTCATGTATTGGAATTTGGTGAATGACATCAAGCTACCAAAATATATAAACTTCTTATGTTTATAAGCTTTATTGATAGTCCCTTTCAGATTTTGTTTGTTCCATGCTGACGAGGTCTCTCCTTTTTGGTCTGTTTTGGGCGTTGAAGTGTCGTGCAAAATCCAATGGATTTGGAATCAGATGACTAGGTTTTGAACTCTGGATTTGCCCTTAATAACTATATGTCCTCGAGAAGCTGGTTAACCTTGCCGATAATCATAAGTGTATATATATGATCACATGTATGTATATGTGTGTGTATGTGTATATATATATATATGTATATATATACACACACATACATATATACATATATACACATATGTGTATATATATGTGTATGTGTATATATATATATATATATATGATTAAAATACCTGCTTGTCAAAGTTGTTGTGGTAATTAATTGGCTTAAATGTGTGAAAGTATCTGACATACTCTTAGGACTTAATAAACCTGTTTTCTTCCTCTCACTCCCTCTTAAATCTTAGTGATTTGTTTTCTGAGACATGGTGATAAAAATTACACAGATTTCAGGGGCAGATGAACCACGGGTTTGTTAAAAAAGAGAAAAAATGGGCCAGGCGTGGTGGTTCACACATGTAATCCCAGCCCTTTGGGAGGCTGACATGGGAGGATTGGCCTAGGCAGAAAAGTAAGACCCTATCACTACAAAAAAAATTATCTGGGCATGGTGGCAGATGCTTGTAATTTCAGTTACTTGGGAGGCAGAAGTGGGAAGATCACTTGAGCCCAGAAATTTGGGGCTGCAGTGAGCTATGATGTCACCACTGCATTTCAGCCTGGGTGATATAGTGAGAACTTGTCTCTAAAAAAATAAAAACTAAATTAAAAAAAGAAAATAGTTTATTTCTAGTCCTCTTGTTGATAACGCCTACCCACAAGTTTCATTGATTCATTGATCTTGGGGATAAGAAAGTACACAGGCCAATATGCCTTGGGGAATAATCTTTGGCTTCTTTCCTGGTTTAAAATGGATAGTTGAAATATCATTATTCTGCATGTATAATTTGGATTAAGTACTGCCCAATGCATTCAAATTGTCAGGGATATTCACAGAAGACTACACACACACACCCACCCACACACACACAAAGCAGAATCCCTATTGCCTATATGGTGGGTACGGATTTGTAAGCTAGTTCTCTGCTTGCTAAGGAAGTGGAAGGGATTCTACCAATCACAACGTGGTTCCCTCAGAATGTATTACCTTTTGTTGATGCAACCAATAATTCCTCTATCTCATTAATATGATGTTGACTTAATTTATGTTAATTTCACACATTTTCAGAGTTGGAAGAAAACTTAGATACCATTTGATCTAATGTATTAAGAAGATGCATCAATCTGCTGTACATTATCCCTAATAATTGCTTACTCAGCTTTTGGGAACACCTGAAGTAATGGAGGAACTTAGCTCCTGGAACAGTCTATTCTATTGTTGGAAAACTCCAATTGTTAGACACATTTTCCTCATATCAAGTATATATATACCTCCTCACAACTCCCTTCCATTGATTGTAATTTTGCTCCATGGGGAGGAATCAGATTTGTTTAAAAACAAAGAGACTTATACTCAGGCATTTAAAGATCTGTTATAGCTCAATAATAAGACAACTCAATAAAAAAAGGAAAAAGACTAAACAGACACTTCGCATTAGAAGATATACAGATGGCAAACAAGCACATGAAAAGATTAGTCATTACAGAAGTGCAAATTAAAAATCACAAGGAGCCTCCATTTCATACTTTATGGAATAGAATATAAGAAACTATCACCACCACCAACAAAAACAAACTTATAACACTAAATGATAATGAAGATGTGGAATAAGGAGAACTCTCATATATCAATTATAGGAAAGCAAAATGGTAGAACTGCTTTGGAAAACACTTTGGCAGTTTCTTATAAGGTTAATCATCCACTTACCATATGACCCAAGAATCCCACAGCTAGGTATTTACTCAAGAGAAACAAAAACATATATCTCCACAAAGGCTTATACATATATATTCTTATCAGCTTTATTCAAAATAGTTTCAAACTGGAAACAAACCAAATGTTCCTAAACTGGTGAATAAATAAGCAAACTGTGATCATCTGTAATATGAAATACTTCTCCGCAATAAAAACAAGTTACTTCATACACATACTCACAGATGAATCTTAAAAATATATGATGCTAAGTGAAGAAAGCCTAATACAAAAGGCTCCATACTGTATGATTCAATTTATATAACTATGGGAAAGGTAAAACTAAAGGGACAGAAAACAGATCAGCAGTTGTCAGGGATGAAGAGTGAGAGGGTTTCTTGTGAATGGGGTAAAGGGAATCATTTGGGGTAATATAAATATTCTGTAACTGTATAGTGGTGGTTTTTACATTCCTGTTTACTACTGTCAAAACTTATCAACCTGTATACTCAAAAATGGTGACACTGCATATAAATTATATCTCAATAAATCTGACAAAAACAAAGATCTAAAAATAGATATTTACCTTTGGTGTCTTTTCATCTTAGATTTTTTGACATTTGGCAAAAAAAAGATGACACATATTTATCTAACTTGACTTCCCAGTCTAATATTTTTATTTTCCTCAATAGTCATACTCAAATGTGTTAGGACTTACAGGCTATAGGATTGAAAGCTGTGTTGATAGGTACACAGCTATGGTGGGAAGCAAAATCATGACTCTAAAACCTACCATTGGCTGCACTGTGGTTGATGTTTCCATGTATATATATATATAATCATTTTGGCTCAATATACGCCCCACCATCAGTAACCTGATACAAGTGGAGACTGCAAGGCATGTTGGGAAAGGCAAAGGAGGATGGGAGGTCCAGCCCAGCCCACTGGAGAGAGACGTATTGAAGCATAGGAAAGGCAGAGCTTTGAAATGGTACATTTAGATGTAGCTATATCAAAAGCGACTTGTCAAAACGTAAAGGGGAAAAATCACTTAAAAAATTAAAACGTGATGTATACAATAGACACTACCAAAGCTCACTCCATCCGTAACTCTGTAGTGACTACTAACAACTTACGCTAAGTTATCCATTTCTGTATTACTTGCATTTTAAGACGTTCAAGTACTTTCATAATCAAGAAAAAAATAAGCTTCAGTTTTAAGTTGATCATTAATGGTTAAATAGAAAATTGGCAGACAGGAGACAAAACTAATGTGCAGCTCCTACTTGGACAGACAGAACAGCATCTGGTGACTCACATGGTGAACTTTTGCCCCAAGACCCACTGCAAGAACATACAAGGAAAACCAAAAAAAATCACAGACCCTTTGAAAGAAGCAGCTTGCTGCTGCAAATGCCATGAGACAGCTGAAAAACTGAGTTCCCAAAGTATGACACAGAGAAAAGTCAACCTCCAAACATACATCCCCACTGGGAAACCTGAAAATCCAGATCACCAGAGAAAGATTTAACCTTACGTAGAGCTGAAATGGATTTAGGGAGCCAAGCAAAATATAAAAGTCGAAGAAGCAGTGGGAAGGGCCCTATAGGCACTCATGGTCCCCAGCTCCAGCCCAGGGAAGCCATTCCTGGCTTTATCTCACAGAGGTCCCTGGGGAAGGGAAGGCAGCCAGCAAGAATTGTGGAGAGGCCACAGAATGAAAAAAGCTTCTAGCTGAACTCTGTAATAATTTCAACTGAGCATAAATTTTCATGAGCAGAAACCTGGTAGGGGGAAGTGATCAGAAAGCTCAGATATAAGCATAGAAGCCATAGCTGACCAGGTGGGCAGGCAGGCAAGGAGGGGTAAGGCCTGAGCCCTGCATGCTTTCTCACTGGGGAGGCTTGTAGCCTGGGGCAAGATCTCAGCCCTGCTCACCAGCTGCCTGGATATAAACGTGCAGTTGGGAGGTGGGGCAAAGCAAGAATGAGATTGGCCTTGCTGGCTGCATGGATGCTAGGTGAGGCCTGTCACTGCTGGCTTTCCCCCACTTCCCTGGCAACTTGTTTGATGCAGCAGACACAGCCATAATCCCCTGGGAACATAACTTCATTGCCTGAGAATCACCGCCCCTCCACCATCTCCCACAGTGGCTGCAGCAAGCCCCACCCAAGGAGAGTCTGAGCTCAGACTCACCTAACCTTGCCCCCACATGCTGGTTTTTCTTTAACTGCCCTGGTTGCCAAAGACAAAAGACATAAACTCCTGGGAAATCTATGGCACCACCTATCACCTGAAAAACGTGAGTACCCATCCTAGCCAATGTAGGGCAAGATTACATACCCTTCTACTACAGCAGAAGGCACTCTCTTCAAAGCACCACCTGCTGGAGGCCAGCCAACTCAAGCCATTACAGCAACTCATAACAGAACAACCCTGATCCAAAGAGGAGAAAACAACAGCTAATTCCATGTCCTACAACACCCTGGCTAACTAGAGGTCCTGAGTCTGTCCCTGTGACAACTTCACTGCTAGCATAACCAGTATTTGAAAAAAGCCAGCACACTAAACAAAAATATAAGCAAGGACTTCCACAGAGTCCACTTCACTCCCCTGCCACCTCCAGTGGAGCAGGTGCTGGAATCTATGACTGGGAGACCTGAAGATGGATCATATCACAGGACTGTTTGCAGACATTCCCCAGAAATAGCCTGGAGCCTGGTAGCCCCACTGGGAGGCTAGACTCAGAAGAACAATAAGAATCACTGAAGTCTGATTTGCAGGAAGCTGTATCCCTGGAGAAAGAAGGAGAGCACCACATCAAGGGATCACCCCATGGGACCAAAGAATCTGAAGATCAGCCCTTGAGTTGCAAATCTTTCCACTGAAACAGTCTACTCAAATAAGAAGGAACCAGAAAAACAATTCTGGTAATATGACAAAACAGGGTTCTATAATATCACCAAAAGATCACACTAGCTCTCCAGCAATTGATCCAAACTAAGAAGAACTCTCTGAATTGCAGATAAAGAATTCAGAAGGTTGATTATTAAGCTACTCAAGGAGGCACCAGACAAAGGTGAAAACCAGCTTAAAGAAATTAAAAAACAACACAAAATATAGATGAAAAAGTCTAGAGAGAAATAGAGATCATAAAAGACAAACACAAATTCTGGAAATGAAAGACATACTTAAAGAATTGCAAAATACACTGGAAAGTTTCAACAAAAGAATTGAACAAAGAGAAGAAAAAACTTCAGAGCTCGAAGAGAAGGCTTTCAAATTAAACCAATCTGACAAAGACATAGAAAAATAATTAAAAAATGAACAAAGCCTTCAAAGATTTTGAGATTATGTCAAATGTCCAAACATAAGAATAACTGTTGTTCCTGAGGAAAAAAAATCTAAAAGTTCGGACAACTTATTTGAGGGAATAATCGAGAAAAACTTCCCTGGTCTTGCTACTGATCTAGACATCCGAATACAAGAAGCCAAGAACACATGGGAAATTCATCGCAAAAAGATCATCCCTAGGCATACAGTTATCAGGTTACCTAAAGTCAAGATGAAGGAAAGAATCTTAAGACCTGTGAGGCAGAAGCACCAGGTAAACTATAAAGAAAAACCTAGCAGATTAACAGCAGATTTCTCAGCAGAAACCCTGCAAGCCAGAAGGGATTGGGGTCCTATCCTTAGCCACCTTAAACAAAATAATTGTCAGTCAAGAATTTTGTATCTGGCAAAACTAAGCTTCATAAATGAAGGAGAAATAAAGGCTTTTTCACAAAAACAAATGCTGAGAGAATTTGCCATTACCAAGCCAGCTCTACAAGAAATGTTAAAAGGAGCTCTATATCTTGAAATAAAACCTCAAATTACACCAAAATAAAATTTCCTTAAAGCATAAATCCCACAGGACATATTAAAAAATAACATAATGAAAAATACCCAAGATGGCTGAATAGGAACAGCTCCAGTCTACAGCTCCCAGCATGAGTGACACAGAGACGGGTGATTGCTGCATTTCCAACAGAGGTACCAGGTTCATCTCACTGGGGAGTGTCGGAAACTGGGTTCAGGACAGTGGGTGCAGTGCACCAAGCGCTAGCCGAAGCAGGGCGAGGCATTGCCTCACCTAGGAAGCACAAGGGGTCAGGGACTTCCGTTTCCTAGCCAAAGAAAGGGGTGACTGATGACGGCACCTGGAAAATCGGGTCACTCCCACCCTAATACTGCACTTTTCCAATGGTCTTAGCAAACGGCACACCAGGAGATTATATCCCACGCCTGGTTCGGAGGATCCTACACCCACAGAGCCTCCTTCATTGCTAGCACAGCAGTCTGAGATCAAACTGCAAGGCGGCAGGGGGGAGGAGTGCCCGCCATTGCCTAGGCTTGAGTAGGTAAACAAAGCTGCCTGGAAGATTGAACTGGGTGGAGCCCACCACAGCTCAAGGAGGCCTGCCTGCCTCTGTAGACTCCACCTCTGGGGGCAGGGCACAGACAAACAAAAGGCAGCAGAATCCTCTGCAGACTTAAATGTCCCTGTCTGACAGCTTTGAAGAGAGTAGTGGTTCTCCCAGCACGCAGATGGAGATCTGAGAACGGACAGACTGCCTCCTCAAGTGGGTCCCTGACCCCTGAGCAGCCTAACTGGGAGGCACCCCCGAGTAGGGGCAGACTGACAACTGACATGGCAGGGCACTCCTATGAGACAAAACATCCAGAGGAATGATCAGGCAGCAACATTTGCTGCTCACCAATATCCGCTGTTCTGCAGCCTCCACTGCTGATACCCAGGCAAACAGGGTCTAGAGTGGACCTCCTGAAAATTCCAACAGACCTGCAGCTGAGGGTCCTCACTGTTAGAAGGAAAACTAACAAACAGAAAGGACATCCACACCAAAAACCCATCTGTACATCACCATCATCAAAGACCAAAGGTAGATAAAACCACAAAGATGGGGAAAAAACAGAGCAGAAAAACTGAAAACTCTAAAAATCAGAGGACCTCTCCTCCTCCAAAGGAATGCAGCTCCTCACCAGCAATGGAACAAAGCTGAACGGAGAATGACTTTGACGAGTTGAGAGAAGAAGCCTTCAGACAATCGAACTACTCCGAGCTAAAGGAGGAAGTTCGAACCCATGGCAAAGAAGTTAAAAACCTTGAAACAAATTAGAGGAAAGGCTAACTAGAATAACCAATGCAGAGAAGTCCTTAAAGGACCTGATGGAGCTGAAAAACAAGGCACAAGAACTATGTGACGAATGCACTAGCCTCAGTAGCCGATTCGATCAACTGGAAGAAAGGGTATCAGTGATGGAAGATCAAATGAATGAAATGAAGCGAGAAGAGAGGTTTAGAGAAAAAAAGAATAAAAGAAACGAACAAAGCCTCCAAGAAATATGGGACTATGTGAAAAGACCAAATCTACGTCTGACTGGTGTACCTGAAAGTGACAGGGAGAATGGAACCAAGTTGGAAAACACCCTGAAGGATATTATCCAGGAGAACTTCCCCAACCTAGCAAGGCAGGCCAACATTCAAATTCAGGAAATACAGAGAACGCCACAAAGATACTCCTCGAGAAGAGCAACTCCAAGACACATAATTGTCAGATTCACCAAAGTTGAAATGAAGGAAAATATGTTAAGGGCAGCAAGAGAGAAAGGTCGGATTACCCACAAAGGGGAGCCCATCAGACTAACAGATGATCTCTCAGCAGAAATTCTACAAGCCAGAAGAGAGTGAAGGCCAATATTCAACATTCTTAAAGAAAAGAATTTTCTTGGCGATGTGGGCTCTTTTTTGGTTCCATATGAACTTTAAAGTAGTTTTTTCCAATTCTGTGAAGAAAGTCATTGGTAGCTTGATGGGGATGGCATTGAATCTATAAATTACCTTGGGCAGTATGGCAATTTTCATGATACTGATTCGTCCTCCCCATGTGCATGGAATGTTCTTCCATTTGTTTGTATCCTCTTTTATTTCATTGAGCAGTGGTTTGTAGTTCTCCTTGAAGAGGTCTTTCACGTCCGTTGTAAGTTGGATTCCTAGGTATTTTATTCTCTTTGAAGCAATTGTGAATGGGAGCTCACTCATGATTTGGCTCTCTGTTTGTCTGTTATTGGTGTATAAGAATGCTTGTGATTTTTGTACATTGATTTTGTATCCTGAGGCTTTGCTGAAGCTTATGAAAAAATGCTCACCATCACTGGCCATCAGAAAAATGCAAAACAAAACCACAATGAGATACCATCTCACACCAGTTAGAATGGCAATCATTAAAAAGTCAGGAAACAACAGGTACTGGAGAGGATGTGGAGAAATAGGAACACTTTTACACTGTTGGTGGGACTGTAAACTAGTTCAACCATTGTGGAAGCCAGTGTGGTGATTCCTCAGGGATCTAGAACTAGAAATACCATTGGACCCAGCCATCCCATTACTGGGTATATACCCAAAGGATTATAAATCATGTTGCTATAAAGACACATGAAAATGGATGTTTACTGCAGCACTATTCACAATAGCAAAGACTTGGAACCAACCCAAATGTCCAACAATGATAGACTGGATTAAGAAAATGTGGCACATATACACCATGGAATTCTATGCAGCCATAAAAAATGATGAGTTCATGTCCTTTGTAGGGACATGGATGAAATTGGAAATCATCATTCTCAGTAAACTATCGCAAGAACAAAAAACCAAACACCGCATATTCTCACTCATAGGTGGGTATTGAACAATGAGAACACATGGACAAAGGAAGGGGAACATCACACTCTGGGGACTGTTGTGGGGTGGGGGGAGGGGGAGGGATAGCTTTAGGAGATATACCTAATGCTAAATGACGAGCTAATGGGTGCAGCACACCAGCATGGCACATGTATACATATGTAACTAACCTGCACATTGTGCACGTGTACCTTAAAACTTAAAGTATAATAATAATAAAATAAAAGAAAAAAAAGAAAAGAATTTTCAACCCAGAATTTCATATCCAGCCAAACTAAACTTCCTAAGTGAAGGAGAAATAAAATCCTTTACAGACAAGCAAATGCTGAGAGATTTTGTCACCACCAGGCCTGCCCTAAAAGAGCTCCTGAAGGAAGCGCTAAACATGGAAAGGAATGATCAGTACCAGCCACTGCAAAAACATGCCAAATTGTAAAGTCCATCGAGGCAAGGAAGAAACTGCATCAATTAACGAGCAAAATAACCAGCTAACATCATAATGACAGGATAAAATTCACACATAACAATATTAACCTTAAATGTAAATGGGCTAAATGCTCCAATTAAAAGACACAGACTGGCAAAGTGGATAAAGAGTCAAGACCCATCAGTGTGCTGTATTCAGGAAACCCATGTCATGTGCAGAGACACATATAGGCTCAAAATAAAGGGATGGAGGAAGATCTACCAAGCAACTGGAAAACAAAAAAAGGCAGGGGTTGCAATCCTAGGCTCTAATAAAACCAACAAAGATCAAAAGAGACAAAGAAGGACATTAGATAATGGTAAAGGGATCAATTCAATAAGAAGAGCTAACTATCCTAAATATATATGAACCCAATACAGGAGCACCCAGATTCATGAAGCAAGTCCTGAGTGACCTACAAAGAGACTTAGATTCCCACACAATAATAATGGGAGACTTTAACACCCCACTGTCAATATTAGACAGATCAACGAGACAGAAAGTTAACAAGGATATCCAGGAATTGAACTGAGCTCTGCACCAAGCGGACCTAATAGACATCTACAGAACTCTCCACCCCAAGTCAACAGAATATACGTTCTTCTCAGCACCACACCATACTTATTCCAAAATTGACCACATAGTTGGAAGTAAAGCACTCCTCGGCAAATGTAAAAGAACAGAAATTATAACAAACTGTCCCTCAGGCCACAGTGCAATCAAACTAGAAATCAGGATTAAGAAACTCACTCAAAACTGGACAACTACATGGAAACTGAACAACCTGCTCCTGAATGACTACTGGGTACATAACAAAATGAAGGCAGAAATAAAGATGTTCTTTGAAACCAATGAGAACAAAGACACAACATACCAGAATCTCTGGGACACATTCAAAGCAGTGTGTAGAGGGAAATTTCTAGCACTAAATGCCCACAAGAGAAAGCAGGAAAGATATAAAATTG